>NC_000010.11:39686682-39935900 GCF_000001405.40 Homo sapiens | reverse complement strand
TCTCTCTAGTTTTTATACGAAGATATTTCCTTTTCTACCATTGGCCTCAAATCGTTTGAAACCTCCACATGCAAAAGCCACGAAAAGAGCGTTTCAAATCTGCTCTGTCTAAAGAAAGGTTCAAATCTGTGAGTTGAATACACACAACACAAAGTAGTTACAGAAAATGCTTCGGTCTAGCAGTATATAGAGAAATCCCGTTTCCAACGAAGGGCTCAAAGAAGTCCAAATATCCACTTGCAGACTTTACAAAAATAGGGTTTCCAAACTGCTCAATTAAAAGAAAGGTTAAACTCTGTGAGTGGAACGCACACATCACAAAGTAGTTTCTGAGAATGAGTTTGTCTAGTTTTCATACGAAGATATTGCCTTTTCTACCATTGTCCTCGAAGAGCTTGAAATCTGCACTAGCAAATTACACAAAAAGAGTGTTTCAAATGTGCTCTCTCTAAAGGAAGGTTCAAATCTCTGAGTTGAATGCACACAACACAAAGAAGTGACTGAGAATACTTCTGTCTAGCATTATAAGAAGAAATCCCGTTTCCAACGAAGGCCTCAAAGTCCAAATATCCACTTGCAGACTTTACAAATAGAGTGTTTCCAAACTGCTCTATGAAAAGAAAGGTTAAACTCTGTGAGTTGAACGCACACATCACAAGGTAGTATCTCAGAATGACACTGTCTAGTTTTTAAACAAAGATATTTCCATTTCTAAGACTGGCCTCAAATCCCTAGAAATCTCCATTGGAAATTGCACAAACAGAGTGTTTGAAAACTGCTCTTTCTAAAGGAAGTTTCAACTCTGTTAGTTGAATACACACAACACAAACACGTTACTGAGAACTCTTCTATCTAGCATTATATGAAGAAATCCCGTTTCCAACGAAGGCCTCAAAGAGGTCCAAATATCCTACTGCAGACTTTACAAAGAGAGTGTTTCCAAACTGCTCAATTAAAAGAAAGGTTAAACTCTGTGAGTGGAACGCACACATCACAAAGTAGTTTCTGAGAATGATTTTGTCTAGTTTTAATACGAAGATATTTCCTTTCCTACCATTGTCCTCGAAGAGCTTGAAATCTGCACTAGCAAATTACACAAAAAGAGTGTTTTAAATGTGCTCTCTCTAAAGGAAGGTTCAAATCTCTGAGTTGAATGGACACAACACAAAGAAGTGACTGGGAATTCTTCTGTCTAGCATTATAGGAGGAAATCCCGTTTCCAACGAAGGCCTCAAAGAGGTCCTAATATCCACTTGCAGACTTTACAAAGAC
Organism: Homo sapiens; assembly: GCF_000001405.40. Lineage (NCBI taxonomy): Eukaryota > Metazoa > Chordata > Mammalia > Primates > Hominidae > Homo > Homo sapiens. The sequence goes on along the minus strand of NC_000010.11, from coordinate 39,934,628 downwards.
AGCGTTTCCAAACTGCTCTATGAAAAGAAACGTTAAACTCTGTGAGTTGAACGCACACATCACAAACTAGTTTCTGCGAATGATTCTGTGTAGTTTTAATTCGAAGATATTTCCATTTCTAAGATTGGCCTCAAATCCCTTGAAATCTCCACTTGCAAATTCCACAAAAAGAGTGTTTCAAAACTGCTCTGAATAAAGGAAGGTTCAACTCTGTGAGTTGAATGCACACAACAGAAAGTAGTAACTGAGAATTCTTCTGTCGGGCAGTATATGAAGAAATCCCGTTTGCAACGAAGGCCTCACAGAAATCTAAATATCCACTTGCAGACCTTACAGACAGAGTGTTTCCAAACTTCTCTATGAAAAGAAAGGTTAATCTCCGTGAGTTGCACGCACACATCACAAAATAGATTCTGAGAATGATTCTGTCTAGTTTTTATACGAAGATATTTCCTTTTCTACCATTGGCCTCAAATCGCTTGAAATCTTTACTTGCAAAAGCCACGAAAAGAGCGTTTCAAATCTGCTCTGTCTAAAGAAAGGTTCAAATCTGTGAGTTGAATACACACAACACAAAGTAGTTACTGAAAATTCTTCGGGCTAGCAGTATATGGAGAAATCCCGTTTCCAAAGAAGGCCTGAAAGAGGTCCAAATATCCGCTTGCAGACTTTACAAAAAGAGTGTTTCCAAACTGCTCTATGAAAAGAAAGTTTAAAATCTGTGAGTTGAACGCACAAATCACAGAGCAGTTTCTGAGAATTGTTCTGTCAAGTTTTTATACGAAGATATTTCCTTTTTTACAATTGGCCTCAAATCGCTTGAAATCTCCACTTGCAAAAGCAACGAAAGGAGAGTTTCAAATCTGCTCGGTCTAAAGAAAGGTTCAACGCTGTGAATTGAATACACATAACCCAAAGAAGTTACTGAGAATTCTTCGGTCTAGCAGTATATGAAGAAATCCCGTTTCCAACGAAGGCCTCAAAAAGGTCCAAATATCTGCTTGCAGACTTTACAAAGAGAGTGCTTCCAACCTGCTCTGTGAAAAGAAAGGTTAAACTCTGTGAGTTGAACGCACACATCACAAAGAAGTTTCTGAGAATGATTCTGTTTAGTTATTATACGAAGATATTTTCTTTTCTACCATTGGCCTCCAATGACTTGAAATCTCCTCTGACAAAACCCACGAAAAGAGAGTATCAAATCTGCTCTGTCTAAAGAAAAGTTCAACTCTGTGAGTTGAATACACACAGCACAAAGAAGTTACTGAGTATTCTTCTGTCTAGCATTATATGAAGAAGTCCCGTTTCCAACGAAGGGCTCAAACAGCTCCAAATATCCACTTGGAGACTTTACAAAGAGAGCGTTTCCAAACTGCTCTATGAAAAGAAACGTTAAACTCTGTGAGTTGAACGCACACATCACACACTAGTTTCTGCGAACGATTCTGTGTAGTTTTAATTCGAAGATATTTCCATTTCTAAGATTGGCCTCAAATCCCTTGAAATCTCCACTTGCAAATTCCACAAAAAGAGTGTTTCAAAACTGCTCTGAATAAAGGAAGGTTCAACTCCGTGAGTTGAATGCACACAACACAAAGAGTTACTGAGAATTCTTCTGTCTGTGAGTATATGAAGAAATCCCGTTTGCAACGAAGGCCTCACGGAAATCTAAATATCCACTTGCAGACCTTACAGACAGAGTCTTTCCAAACTGCTCTATGAAAAGAAAGGTTAATCTCCGTGAGTTGCACGCACACATCAGAAAGTAATTTCTGAGAATGATTCTCTCTAGTTTTTTACGAAGATATTTCCCTTTCTACCATTGGCCTCAAATCGTTTGAAACCTCCACATGCAAAAGCCACGAAAAGAGCGTTTCAAATCTGCTCTGTCTAAAGAAATGTTCAAATCTGTGAGTTGAATACACACAACACAAAGTAGTTACTGAAAATGCTTCGGTCTAGCAGTATATGGAGAAATCCCGTTTCCAACGAAGGGCTCAAAGAAGTCCAAATATCCACTTGCAGACTTTACAAAAATAGTGTTTCCAAACTGCTCAATTAAAAGAAAGGTTAAACTCTGTGAGTGGAACGCACACATCACAAAGTAGTTTCTGAGAATGAGTTTGTCTAGTTTTCATACGACGATATTTCCTTTTCTACCATTGTCCTCGAAGAGCTTGAAATCTGCATTAGCAAATTACACAAAAAGAGTGTTTCAAATGTGCTCTCTCTAAAGGAAGGTTCAAATCTCTTAGTTGAATGCACACAACACAAAGAAGTGACTGAGAATACTTCTGTCTAGCATTATAGGAAGAAATCCCGTTTCCAACGAAGGCCTCAAAGAGGTCCTAATATCCACTTGCAGACTTTACAAAGACAGCGTTTCCAAACTGCTCTATGAAAAGAAACGTTAAACTCTGTGAGTTGAACGCACACATCACAAACTAGTTTCTGCGAATGATACTGTCTAGTTTTTATACAAAGATATTTCCATTTCTAAGACTGGCCTCAAATCCCGAGAAATCTCCATTGGAAATTGCACAAACAGAGTGTTTGAAAACTGCTCTTTCTAAAGGAAGGTTCAACTCTGTTAGTTGAATACACACAACACAAACAAGTTACTGAGAATTCTTCTATCTAGCATTATATGAAGAAATCCCGTTTCCAACGAAGGCCTCAAAGAGGTCCAAATATCCTACTGCAGACTTTACAAAGAGAGTGTTTCCAAACTGCTCAATTAAAAGAAAGTTTAAACTCTGTGAGTGGAACGCACACATCACAAAGTAGTTTCTGAGAATGATTTTGTCTAGTTTTAATACGAAGATATTTCCTTTCCTACCATTGTCCTCGAAGAGCTTGAAATCTGCCCTAGCAAATTACACAAAAAGAGTGTTTCAAATGTGCTCTCTCTAAAGGAAGGTTCAAATCTCTGAGTTGAATGCACAGAACACAAAGAAGTGACTGGGAATTCTTCTGTCTAGCATTATAGGAGGAAATCCCGTTTCCAAGGAAGACCTCAAAGAGGTCCTAATATCCACTTGCAGACTTTACAAAGACAGCGTTTGCAAACTGCTCTATGAAAAGAAACGTTAAACTCTGTGAGTTGAACGCACACATCACAAACTAGTTTCTGCGAATGATTCTGTGTAGTTTTAATTCGAAGATATTTCCATTTCTAAGATTGGCCTCAAATCCCTTGAAATCTCCACTTGCAAATTCCACAAAAAGAGTGTTTCAAAACTGCTCTGAATAAAGGAAGGTTCAACTCTGTGAGTTGAATGCACACAACAGAAAGTAGTAACTGAGAATTCTTCTGTCGGGCAGTATATGAAGAAATCCCGTTTGCAACGAAGGCCTCACAGAAATCTAAATATCCACCTGCAGACCTTACAGACAGAGTGTTTCCAAACTTCTCTATGAAAAGAAAGGTTAATCTCCGTGAGTTGCACGCACACATCACAAAGTAGATTCTGAGAATGATTCTGTCTAGTTTTTATACGAAGATATTTCCTTTTCTACCATTGGCCTCAAATCGCTTCAAATCTTTACTTGCAAAAGCCACGAAAAGAGCGTTTCAAATCTGCTCTGTCTAAAGAAAGGTTCAAATCTGTGAGTTGAATACACACAACACAAAGTAGTTACTGAAAATTCTTCGGGCTAGCAGTATATGGAGAAATCCCGTTTCCAAAGAAGGCCTGAAAGAGGTCAAAATATCCGCTTGCAGACTTTACAAAAAGAGTGTTTCCAAACTGCTCTATGAAAAGAAAGTTTAAAATCTGTGAGTTCAACGCACAAATCACAGAGCAGTTTCTGAGAATTCTTCTGTCTAGTTTTTATACGAAGATATTTCCTTTTCTACAATTGGCCTCAAATCGCTTGAAATCTCCACTTGCAAAAGCAACGAAAGGAGAGTTTCAAATCTGCTTGGTCTAAAGAAAGGTTCAACTCTGTGAATTGAATACACACAACCCAAAGAAGTTACTGAGAATTCTTCGGTCTAGCAGTATATGAAGAAATCCCGTTTCCAACGAAGGCCTCAAAAAGGTCCAAATATCTGCTTGCAGACTTTACAAAGAGAGTGCTTCCAACCTGCTCTATGAAAAGAAAGGATAAACTCTGTGAGTTGAACGCACACATCACAAAGAAGCTTCTGAGAATGATTCTGTTTAGTTATTATACGAAGATATTTTCTTTCCTACCATTGGCCTCCAATGAGTTGAAATCTCCTCTGGCAAAAGCCACGAAAAGAGAGTATCAAATCTGCTCTGTCTAAAGAAAAGTTCAACTCTGTGAGTTGAATACACACAGCACAAAGAAGTTACTGAGTATTCTTCTGTCTAGCATTATATGAAGAAGTCCCGTTTCCAACGAAGGGCTCAAAGAGCTCCAAATATCCACTTGGAGACTTTACAAAGAGAGCGTTTCCAAACTGCTCTATGAAAAGAAACGTTAAACTCTGTGAGTTGAACGCACACATCACAAACTAGTTTCTGCAAACGATTCTGTGTAGTTTTAATTCGAAGATATTTCCATTTCTAAGATTGGCCTCAAATCCCTTGAAATCTCCACTTGCAAATTCCACAAAAAGAGTGTTTCAAAACTGCTCTGAATAAAGGAAGGTTCAACTCCGTGAGTTGAATGCACACAACACAAAGAGTTACTGAGAATTCTTCTGTCTGTGAGTATATGAAGAAATCCCGTTTGCAACGAAGGCCTCACAGAAATCTAAATATCCACTTGCAGACCTTACAGACAGAGTCTTTCCAAACTGCTCTATGAAAAGAAAGGTTAATCTCCGTGAGTTGCACACACACATCAGAAAGTAATTTCTGAGAATGATTCTCTCTAGTTTTTATACGAAGATATTTCCTTTTCTACCATTGGCCTCAAATCGTTTGAAACCTCCACATGCAAAAGCCACGAAAAGAGCGTTTCAAATCTGCTCTGTCTAAAGAAAGGTTCAAATCTGTGAGTTGAATACACACAACACAAAGTAGTTACTGAAAATGCTTCAGTCTAGCAGTATATGGAGAAATCCCGTTTCCAACGAAGGGCTCAAAGAAGTCCAAATATCCACTTGCAGACTTTACAAAAATAGTGTTTCCAAACTGCTCAATTAAAAGAAAGGTTAAACTCTGTGAGTGGAACGCACACATCACAAAGTAGTTTCTGAGAATGAGTCTCTCTAGTTTTTATACGAAGATATTTCCTTTCCTACCATTGTCCTCGAAGAGCTTGAAATCTGCACTAGCAAATTACACAAAAAGAGTGTTTCAAATGTGCTCTCTCTAAAGGAAGGTTCAAATCTCTGAGTTGAATGCACACAACACAAAGAAGTGACTGAGAATACTTCTGTCTATCATTATATGAAAAAATCCCGTTTCCAATGAAGGCCTCAAAGAGGTAGAAATATCCACTTGCAGACTTTACAAATAGAGTGTTTCCAAACTGCTTTATAAAAAGAAAGGTTAAACTCTGTGAGTTGAACACACACATCACAAACTAATTTCTGAGAATGATACTGTCTAGTTTTTATACAAAGATATTTCCATTTCTAAGACTGGCCTCAAATCCCTGGAAATCTCCATTGGAAATTGCACAAACAGAGTGTTTGAAAACTGCTCTTTCTAAAGGAAGGTTCAACTCTGTTAGTTGAATACACACAACACAAACAAGTTACTGAGAATTCTTCTATCTAGCATTATATGAAGAAATCCCGTTTCCAACGAAGGCCTCAAAGAGGTCCAAATATCCTACTGCAGACTTTACAAAGAGAGTGTTTCCAAACTGCTCAATTAAAAGAAAGGTTAAAGTCTGTGAGTGGAACGCACACATCACAAAGTAGTTTCTGAGAATGATTTTGTCTAGTTTTAATACGAAGATATTTCCTTTCCTACCATTGTCCTCGAAGAGCTTGAAATCTGCACTAGCAAATTACACAAAAAGAGTGTTTTAAATGTGCTCTCTCTAAAGGAAGGTTCAAATCTCTGAGTTGAATGCACACAACACAAAGAAGTGACTGGGAATTCTTCTGTCTAGCATTATAGGAGGAAATCCCGTTTCCAACGAAGGCCTCAAAGAGGTCCTAATATCCACTTGCAGACTTTAAAAAGACAGAGTTTCCAAACTGCTCTATGAAAAGAAACGTTAAACTCTGTGAGTTCAACGCACACATCACAAACTAGTTTCTGCGAATGATTCTGTGTAGTTTTAATTCGAAGATATTTCCATTTCTAAGATTGGCCTCAAATCCCTTGAAATCTCCACTTGCAAATTCCACAAAAAGCGTGTTTCAAAACTGCTCTGAATAAAGGAAGGTTCAACTCTGTGAGTTGAATGCACACAGCAGAAAGTAGTAACTGAGAATTCTTCTGTCGGGCAGTATATGAAGAAATCCCGTTTGCAACGAAGGCCTCACAGAAATCTAAATATCCACTTGCAGACCTTACAGACAGAGTGTTTCCAAACTTCTCTATGAAAAGAAAGGTTAATCTCCGTGAGTTTCACGCACACATCACAAAGTAGATTCTGAGAATGATTCTGTCTAGTTTTTATACGAAGATATTTCCTTTTCTACCATTGGCCTCAAATCGCTTGAAATCTTTACTTGCAAAAGCCACGAAAAGTGCATTTCAAATCTGCTCTGTCTAAAGAAAGGTTCAAATCTGTGAGTTGAATACACACAACACAAAGTAGTTACTGAAAATGCTTCGGGCTAGCAGTATATGGAGAAATCCCGTTTCCAAAGAAGGCCTGAAAGAGGTCCAAATATCCGCTTGCAGACTTTACAAAAAGAGTGTTTCCAAACTGCTCTATGAAAAGAAAGTTTAAAATCTGTGAGTTGAACGCACAAATCACAGAGCAGTTTCTGAGAATTGTTCTGTCTAGTTTTTGTACGAAGATATTTCCTTTTCTACAATTGGCCTCAAATCGCTTGGAATCTCCACTTGCAAAAGCAACGAAAGGAGAGTTTCAAATCTGCTCGGTCTAAAGAAAGGTTCAACTCTGTGAATTGAATACACACAACCCAAAGAAGTTACTGAGAATTCTTCGGTCTAGCAGTATATGAAGAAATCCCGTTTCCAACGAAGGCCTCAAAAAGGTCCAAATATCTGCTTGCAGACTTTACAAAGAGAGTGCTTCCAACCTGCTCTATGAAAAGAAAGGTTAAACTCTGTGAGTTGAACGCACACATCACAAAGAAGTTTCTGAGAATGATTCTGTTTAGTTATTATACGAAGATATTTTCTTTTCTACCATTGGCCTCAAATGACTTGAAATCTCCTCTGGCAAAAGCCACGAAAAGAGAGTATCAAATCTGCTCTGTCTAAAGAAAAGTTCAACTCTGTGAGTTGAATACACACAGCACAAAGAAGTTACTGAGTATTCTTCTGTCTAGCATTATATGAAGAAGTCCCGTTTCCAACGAAGGGCTCAAAGAGCTCCAAATATCCACTTGGAGACTTTACAAAGAGAGCGTTTCCAAACTGCTCTATGAAAAGAAACGTTAAACTCTGTGAGTTGAACGCACACATCACAAACTAGTTTCTGCGAACGATTCTGTGTAGTTTTAATTCGAAGATATTTCCATTTCTAAGATTGGCCTCAAATCCCTTGAAATCTCCACTTGCAAATTCCACAAAAAGAGTGTTTCAAAACTGCTCTGAATAAAGGAAGGTTCAACTCCGTGGGTTGAATGCACACAACACAAAGAGTTACTGAGAATTCTTCTGTCTGTGAGTATATGAAGAAATCCCGTTTGCAACGAAGGCCTCACAGAAATCTAAATATCCACTTGCAGACCTTACAGACAGAGTCTTTCCAAACTGCTCTATGAAAAGAAAGGTTAATCTCCGTGAGTTGCACGCACACATCAGAAAGTAATTTCTGAGAATGATTCTCTCTAGTTTTTATACGAAGATATTTCCTTTTCTACCATTGGCCTCAAATCGTTTGAAACCTCCACATGCAAAAGCCACGAAAAGAGCGTTTCAAATCTGCTCTGTCTAAAGAAAGGTTCAAATCTGTGAGTTGAATACACACAACACAAAGTAGTTACTGAAAATGCTTCGGTCTAGCAGTATATGGAGAAATCCCGTTTCCAACGAAGGGCTCAAAGAAGTCCAAATATCCACTTGCAGACTTTACAAAAATAGTGTTTCCAAACTGCTCAATTAAAAGAAAGGTTAAACTCTGTGAGTGGAACGCCCACATCACAAAGTAGTTTCTGAGAATGAGTTTGTCTAGTTTTCATACGAAGATATTTCCTTTTCTACCATTGTCCTCGAAGAGCTTGAAATCTGCACTAGCAAATTACACAAAAAGAGTGTTTCAAATGTGCTCTCTCTAAAGGAAGGTTCAAATCTCTGAGTTGAATGCACACAACACAAAGAAGTGACTGAGAATACTTCTGTCTAGCATTATACGAAGAAATCCCGTTTCCAACGAAGGCCTCAAAGAGGTCCAAATATCCACTTGCAGACTTTACAAATAGAGTGTTTCCAAACTGCTCTATGAAAACAAAGGTTAAACTCTGTGAGTTGAACGCACACATCACAAGGTAGTATCTCAGAATGACTCTGTCTAGTTTTTATACAAAGATACTTCCATTTCTAAGACTGGCCTCAAATCCCTAGAAATCTCCATTAGAAATTCCACAAACAGAGTGTTTTAAAACTGCTCTGTCTAAAAGAAGGGTCAACTCCGTGAGTTGAATGCACACAACACAAAGAGTTACTGAGAATTCTTCTATCTAGCATTATATGAAGAAATCCCGTTTCCAACGAAGGCCTCAAAGAGGTCCAAATATCCTACTGCAGACTTTACAAAGAGAGTGTTTCCAAACTGCTCAATTAAAAGAAAGGTTAAACTCTGTGAGTGGAACGCACACATCACAAAGTAGTTTCTGAGAATGATTTTGTCTAGTTTTCATACGAAGATATTTCCTTTTCTACCATTGTCCTCGAAGAGCTTGAAATCTGCACTAGCAAATTACACAAAAAGAGTGTTTTAAATGTGCTCTCTCTAAAGGAAGGTTCAAATCTCTGAGTTGAATACACACAACACAAAGAAGTGACTGGGAATTCTTCTGTCTAGCATTATAGGAGGAAATCCCGTTTCCAACGAAGGCCTGAAAGAGGTCCTAATATCCACTTGCCGACTTTACAAAGACAGCGTTTCCAAACTGCTCTATGAAAAGAAACGTTAAACTCTGTGAGTTGAACGCACACATCACAAACTAGTTTCTGCGAATGATTCTGTGTAGTTTTAATTCGAAGATATTTCCATTTCTAAGATTGGCCTCAAATCCCTTGAAATCTCCACTTGCAAATTCCACAAAAAGAGTGTTTCAAAACTGCTCTGAATAAAGGAAGGTTGAACTCTGTGAGTTGAATGCACACAACTGAAAGTAGTAACTGAGAATTCTTCTGTCGGGCAGTATATGAAGAAATCCCGTTTGCAACGAAGGCCTCACAGAAATCTAAATATCCACTTGCAGACCTTACAGACAGAGTGTTTCCAAACCCTTCTATGAAAAGAAAGGTTAATCTCCGTGAGTTGCACGCACACATCACAAAGTAGATTCTGAGAATGATTCTGTCTAGTTTTTATACGAAGATATTTCCTTTTCTACCATTGGCCTCAAATCGCTTGAAATCTTTACTTGCAAAAGCCACGAAAAGAGCGTTTCAAATCTGCTCTGTCTAAAGAAAGGTTCAAATCGGTGAGTTGAATACACACAACACAAAGTAGTTACTGAAAATGCTTCGGGCTAGCAGTATATGGAGAAATCCCGTTTCCAAAGAAGGCCTGAAAGAGGTCCAAATATCCGCTTGCAGACTTTACAAAAAGAGTGTTTCCAAACTGCTCTATGAAAAGAAAGTTTAAAATCTGTGAGTTGAACGCACAAATCACAGAGCAGTTTCTGAGAATTGTTCTGTCTAGTTTTTATACGAAGATATTTCCTTTTTTACAATTGGCCTCAAATCGCTTGAAATCTCCACTTGCAAAAGCAACGAAAGGAGAGTTTCAAATCTGCTCGGTCTAAAGAAAGGTTCAACGCTGTGAATTGCATACACACAACCAAAAGAAGTTACTGAGAATTCTTCGGTCTAGCAGTATATGAAGAAATCCCGTTTCCAACGAAGGCCTCAAAAGTCCAAATATCTGCATGCAGACTTTACAAAGAGAGTGCTTCCAACCTGCTCTATGAAAAGAAAGGTTAAACTCTGTGAGTTGAACGCACACATCACAAAGAAGTTTCTGAGAATGATTCTGTTTAGTTATTATACGAAGATATTTTCTTTTCTACCATTGGCCTCCAATGACTTGAAATCTCCTCTGGCAAAAGCCACGAAAAGAGAGTATCAAATCTGCTCTGTCTAAAGAAAAGTTCAACTCTGTGAGTTGAATACACACAGCACAAAGAAGTTACTGAGTATTCTTCTGTCTAGAATTATATGAAGAAGTCCCGTTTCCAACGAAGGGCTCAAACAGCTCCAAATATCCACTTGGAGACTTTACAAAGAGAGCGTTTCCAAACTGCTCCATGAAAAGAAACGTTAAACTCTGTGAGTTGAACGCACACATCACAAACTAGTTTCTGCGAACGATTCTGTGTAGTTTTAATTCGAAGATATTTCCATTTCTAAGATTGGCCTCAAATCCCTTGAAATCTCCACTTGCAAATTCCACAAAAAGAGTGTTTCAAAACTGCTCTGAATAAAGGAAGGTTCAACTCCGTGAGTTGAATGCACACAACACAAAGAGTTACTGAGAATTCTTCTGTCTGTGAGTATATGAAGAAATCCCGTTTGCAACGAAGGCCTCACAGAAATCTAAATATCCACTTGCAGACCTTACAGACAGAGTCTTTCCAAACTGCTCTATGAAAAGAAAGGTTAATCTCCGTGAGTTGCACGCACACATCAGAAAGTAATTTCTGACAATGATTCTCTCTAGTTTTTATACGAAGATATTTCCTTTTCTACCATTGGCCTCAAATCGTTTGAAACCTCCACATGCAAAAGCCACGAAAAGAGCGTTTCAAATCTGCTCTGTCTAAAGAAAGGTTCAAATCTGTGAGTTGAATACACACAACACAAAGTAGTTACTGAAAATGCTTCGGTCTAGCAGTATATGGAGAAATCCCGTTTCCAACGAAGGGCTCAAAGAAGTCCAAATATCCACTTGCAGACTTTACAAAAATAGTGTTTCCAAACTGCTCAATTAAAAGAAAGGTTAAACTCTGTGAGTGGAACGCACACATCACAAAGTAGTTTCTGAGAATGAGTTTGTCTAGTTTTCATACGAAGATATTTCCTTTCCTACCATTGTCTTCGAAGAGCTTGAAATCTGCACTAGCAAATTACACAAAAAGAGTGTTTCAAATGTGCTCTCTCTAAAGGAAGGTTCAAATCTCTGAGTTGAATGCACACAACACAAAGAAGTGACTGAGAATACTTCTGTCTAGCATTATAGGAAGAAATCCCGTTTCCAACGAAGGCCTCAAAGAGGTCCAAATATCCACTTGCAGACTTTACAAATAGAGTGTTTCCAAACTGCTCTATGAAAAGAAAGGTTAAACTCTGTGAGTTGAACACACACATCACAAGGTAGTATCTCAGAATGACACTGTCTAGTTTTTATACAAAGATATTTCCATTTCTAAGACTGGCCTCAAATCCCTAGAAATCTCCATTGGAAATTGCACAAACAGAGTGTTTGAAAACTGCTCTTTCTAAAGGAAGGTTCAACTCTGTTAGTTGAATACACACAACACAAACAAGTTACTGAGAACTCTTCTATCTAGCATTATATGAAGAAATCCCGTTTCCAACGAAGGCCTCAAAGAGGTCCAAATATCCTACTGCAGACTTTACAAAGAGAGTGTTTCCAAACTGCTCAATTAAAAGAAAGGTTAAACTCTGTGAGTGGAACGCACACATCACAAAGTAGTTTCTGAGAATGATTTTGTCTAGTTTTAATACGAAGATATTTCCTTTCCTACCATTGTCCTCGAAGAGCTTGAAATCTGCACTAGCAAATTACACAAAAAGAGTGTTTTAAATGTGCTCTCTCTAAAGGAAGGTTCAAATCTCTGAGTTGAATGCACACAACACAAAGAAGTGACTGGGAATTCTTCTGTCTAGCATTATAGGAGGAAATCCCGTTTCCAACGAAGGCCTCAAAGAGGTCCTAATATCCACTTGCAGACTTTACAAAGACAGCGTTTCCAAACTGCTCTATGAAAAGAAACGTTAAACTCTGTGAGTTGAACGCACACATCACAAACTAGTTTCTGCGAATGATTCTGCGTAGTTTTAATTCGAACATATTTCCATTTCTAAGATTGGCCTCAAATCCCTTGAAATCTCCACTTGCAAATGCCACAAAAAGAGTGTTTCAAAACTGCTCTGAATAAAGGAAGGTTCAACTCTGTGAGTTGAATGCACACAACAGAAAGTAGTAACTGAGAATTCTTCTGTCGGGCAGTATATGAAGAAATCCCGTTTGCAACGAAGGCCTCACAGAAATCTAAATATCCACTTGCAGACCTTACAGACAGAGTGTTTCCAAACTTCTCTATGAAAAGAAAGGTTAATCTCCGTGAGTTGCACGCACACATCACAAAGTAGATTCTGAGAATGATTCTGTCTAGTTTTTATACGAAGATATTTCCTTTTCTACCATTGGCCTCAAATCGCTTGAAATCTTTACTTGCAAAAGCCACGAAAAGAGCGTTTCAAATCTGCTCTGTCTAAAGAAAGGTTCAAATCTGTGAGTTGAATACACACAACACAAAGTAGTTACTGAAAATGCTTCGGGTTAGCAGTATATGGAGAAATCCCGTTTCCAAAGAAGGCCTGAAAGAGGTCCAAATATCCGCTTGCAGACTTTACAAAAAGAGTGTTTCCAAACTGCTCTATGAAAAGAAAGTTTAAAATCTGTGAGTTGAACGTACAAATCACAGGGCAGTTTCTGAGAATTGTTCTGTCTAGTTTTTATACGAAGATATTTCCTTTTCTACAATTGGCCTCAAATCGCTTGAAATCTCCACTTGCAAAAGCAACGAAAGGAGAGTTTCAAATCTGCTCGGTCTAAAGAAAGGTTCAACTCTGTGAATTGAATACACACAACCCAAAGAAGTTACTGAGAATTCTTCGGTCTAGCAGTATATGAAGAAATCCCGTTTCCAACGAAGGCCTCGAAAAGGTCCAAATATCTGCTTGCAGACTTTACAAAGAGAGTGCTTCCAACCTGCTCTATGAAAAGAAAGGTTAAACTCTGTGAGTTGAACGCACACATCACAAAGAAGTTTCTGAGAATGATTCTGTTTAGTTATTATACGAAGATATTTTCTTTTCTACCATTGGCCTCCAATGACTTGAAATCTCCTCTGGCAAAAGCCACGAAAAGAGAGTATCAAATCTGCTCTGTCTAAAGAAAAGTTCAACTCTGTGAGTTGAATACACACAGCACAAAGAAGTTACTGAGTATTCTTCTGTCTAGCATTATATGAAGAAGTCCCGTTTCCAACGAAGGGCTCAAAGAGCTCCAAATATCCACTTGGAGACTTTACAAAGAGAGCGTTTCCAAACTGCTCTATGAAAAGAAACGTTAAACTCTGTGAGTTGAACGCACACATCACAAACTAGTTTCTGCGAACGATCTGCGTAGTTTTAATTCGAAGATATTTCCATTTCTAAGATTGGCCTCAAATCCCTTGAAATCTCCACTTGCAAATGCCACAAAAAGAGTGTTTCAAAACTGCTCTGAATAAAGGAAGGTTCAACTCTGTGAGTTGAATGCACACAACAGAAAGTAGTAACTGAGAATTCTTTCTGTCTGTGAGTATATGAAGAAATCCCGTTTGCAACGAAGGCCTCACAGAAATCTAAATATTCACTTGCAGACCTTACAGACAGAGTCTTTCCAAACTGCTCTATGAAAAGAAAGGTTAATCTCCGTGAGTTGCACGCACACATCACAAAGTAATTTCTGAGAATGATTCTCTCTAGTTTTTATACGAAGATATTTCCTTTTCTACCATTGGCCTCAAATCGTTTGAAACCTCCACATGCAAAAGCCACGAAAAGAGCGTTTCAAATCTGCTCTGTCTAAAGAAAGGTTCAAATCTGTGAGTTGAATACACACAACACAAAGTAGTTACTGAAAATGCTTCGGGCTAGCAGTATATGGAGAAATCCCGTTTCCAAAGAAGGCCTGAAAGAGGTCCAAATATCCGCTTGCAGACTTTACAAAAAGAGTGTTTCCAAACTGCTCTATGAAAAGAAAGTTTAAAATCTGTGAGTTGAACGCACAAATCACAGTGCAGTTTCTGAGAATTGTTTTGTCTAGTTTTCATACGAAGATATTTCCTTTTCTACCATTGTCCTCGAAGAGCTTGAAATCTGCACTAGCAAATTACACAAAAAGAGTGTTTCAAATGTGCTCTCTCTAAAGGAAGGTTCAAATCTCTGAGTTGAATGCACACAACACAAAGAAGTGTCAGAGAATACTTCTGTCTAGCATTATAGGAAGAAATCCCGTTTCCAACGAAGGCCTCAAAGAGGTCCAAATATCCAATTGCAGACTTTACAAATAGAGTGTTTCCAAACTGCTCTATGAAAAGAAAGGTTAAACTCTGTGAGTTGAACGCACACATCACAAGGTAGTATCTCAGAATGACACTGTCTAGTTTTTATACAAAGATATTTCCATTTCTAAGACTGGCCTCAAATCCCTAGAAATCTCCATTGGAAATTGCACAAACAGAGTGTTTGAAAACTGCTCTTTCTAAAGGAAGTTTCAACTCTGTTAGTTGAATACACACAACACAAACAAGTTACTGAGAACTCTTCTATCTAGCATTATATGAAGAAATCCTGTTTCCAACGAAGGCCTCAAAGAGGTCCAAATATCCTACTGCAGACTTTACAAAGAGAGTGTTTCCAAACTGCTCAATTAAAAGAAAGGTTAAACTCTGTGAGTGGAACGCACACATCACAAAGTAGTTTCTGAGAATGATTTTGTCTAGTTTTAATACGAAGATATTTCCTTTCCTACCATTGTCCTCGAAGAGCTTGAAATCTGCACTAGCAAATTACACAAAAAGAGTGTTTTAAATGTGCTCTCTCTAAAGGAAGGTTCAAATGTCTGAGTTGAATGCACACAACACAAAGAAGTGACTGGGAATTCTTCTGTCTAGCATTATAGGAGGAAATCCCGTTTCCAACGAAGGCCTCAAAGAGGTCCTAATATCCACTTGCAGACTTTACAAAGACAGCGTTTCCAAACTGCTCTATGAAAAGAAACGTTAAACACTGTGAGTTGAACGCACACATCACAAACTAGTTTCTGCGAATGATTCTGTGTAGTTTTAATTCAAAGACATTTCCATTTCTAAGATTGGCCTCAAATCCCTTGAAATCTCCACTTGCAAATTCCACAAAAAGAGTGTTTCAAAACTGCTCTGAATAAAGGAAGGTTCAACTCTGTGAGTTGAATGCACACAACAGAAAGTAGTAACTGAGAATTCTTCCGTCGGGCAGTATATGAAGAAATCCCGTTTGCAACAAAGGCCTCACAGAAATCTAAATATCCACTTGCAGACCTTACAGACAGACTCTTTCCAAACTTCTCTATGAAAAGAAAGGTTAATCTCCGTGAGTTGCACGCACACATCACAAAGTAGATTCTGAGAATGATTCTGTCTAGTTTTTATACGAAGATATTTCCTTTTCTACCATTGGCCTCAAATCGCTTGAAATCTTTACTTGCAAAAGCCACGAAAAGAGCGTTTCAAATCTGCTCTGTCTAAAGAAAGGTTCAAATCTGTGAGTTGAATACACACAACACAAAGTAGTTACTGAAAATGCTTCGGGCTAGCAGTATATGGAGAAATCCCGTTTCCAAAGAAGGCCTGAAAGAGGTCCAAATATCCGCTTGCAGACTTTACAAAAAGAGTGTTTCCAAACTGCTCTATGAAAAGAAAGTTTAAAATCTGTGAGTTGAACGCAAAAATCACAGAGCAGTTTCTGAGAATTGTTCTGTCTAGTTTTTATACGAAGATATTTCCTTTTCTACAATTGGCCTCAAATCGCTTGAAATCTCCACTTGCAAAAGCAACGAAAGGAGAGTTTCAAATCTGCTCGGTCTAAAGAAAGGTTCAACTCTGTGAATTGAATACACACAACCCAAAGAAGTTACTGAGAATTCTTCGGTCTAGCAGTATATGAAGAAATCCCGTTTCCAACGAAGGCCTCAAAAAGGTCCAAATATGTGCTTGCAGACTTTACAAAGAGAGTGCTTCCAACCTGCTCTATGAAAAGAAAGGTTAAACTCTGTGAGTTGAACGCACACATCACAAAGAAGTTTCTGAGAATGATTCTGTTTAGTTATTATACGAAGATATTTTCTTTTCTACCATTGGCCTCCAATGACTTGAAATCTCCTCTGGCAAAAGCCACGAAAAGAGAGTATCAAATCTGCTCTGTCTAAAGAAAAGTTCAACTCTGTGAGTTGAATACACACAGCACAAAGAAGTTACTGAGTATTCTTCTGTCTAGCATTATATGAAGAAGTCCCGTTTCCAACGAAGGGCTCAAAGAGCTCCAAATATCCACTTGGAGACTTTACAAAGAGAGCGTTTCCAAACTGCTCTATGGAAAGAAACGTTAAACTCTGTGAGTTGAACGCACACAGCACAAACTAGTTTCTGCGAACGATTCTGTGTAGTTTTAATTCGAAGATATTTCCATTTCTAAGATTGGCCTCAAATCCCTTGAAATCTCCACTTGCAAATTCCACAAAAAGAGTGTTTCAAAACTGCTCTGAATAAAGGAAGGTTCAACTCTGTGTGTTGAATTTACACAACACAAAGTAGTTACTGAGAATTCTTCTGTCGGACAGTATATGAAGAAACCCGTTTGCAACGAAGGCCTCACAGAAATCTAAATATCCACTTGCAGACCTTACAGACAGAGTCTTTCCAAACTGCTCTATGAAAAGAAAGGTTAATCTCCGTGAGTTGCACGCACACATCAGAAAGTAATTTCTGAGAATGATTCTCTCTAGTTTTTATACGAAGATATTTCCTTTTCTACCATTGGCCTCAAATCGTTTGAAACCTCCACATGCAAAAGCCACGAAAAGAGCGTTTCAAATCTGCTCTGTCTAAAGAAAGGTTCAAATCTGTGAGTTGAA
Organism: Homo sapiens; assembly: GCF_000001405.40. Classification (NCBI taxonomy): domain Eukaryota; kingdom Metazoa; phylum Chordata; class Mammalia; order Primates; family Hominidae; genus Homo; species Homo sapiens. Next base: position 39,917,420 of record NC_000010.11, on the reverse strand, counting down.
TACACACAACACAAAGTAGTTACTGAAAATGCTTCTGTCTAGCATTATATGAAGAAGTCCCCTTTCCAACGAAGGGCTCAAAGAAGTCCAAATATCCACTTGCAGACTTTACAAAAATAGTGTTTCCAAACAGCTCAATTAAAAGAAAGGTTAAACTCTGTGAGTGGAACGCACACATCACAAAGTAGTTTCTGAGAATGAGTTTGTCTAGTTTTCATACGACGATATTTCCTTTTCTACCATTGTCCTCGAAGAGCTTGAAATCTGCACTAGCAAATTACACAAAAAGAGTGTTTCAAATGTGCTCTCTCTAAAGGAAGGTTCAAATCTCTGAGTTGAATGCACACAACACAAAGAAGTGACTGAGAATACTTCTGTCTAGCATTATAGGAAGAAATCCCGTTTCCAACGAAGGCCTCAAAGAGGTCCAAATATCCACTTGCAGACTTTACAAATAGAGTGTTTCCAAACTGCTCTATGAAAAGAAAGGTTAAACTCTGTGAGTTGAACGCACACATCACAAGGTAGTATCTCAGAATGACACTGTCTAGTTTTTATACAAAGATATTTCCATTTCTAAGACTGGCCTCAAATCCCGAGAAATCTCCATTGGAAATTGCACAAACAGAGTGTTTGAAAACTGCTCTTTCTAAAGGAAGGTTCAACTCTGTTAGTTGAATACACACAACACAAACAAGTTACTGAGAATTCTTCTATCTAGCATTATATGAAGAAATCTCGTTTCCAACGAAGGCCTCAAAGAGGTCCAAATATCCTACTGCAGACTTTACAAAGAGAGTGTTTCCAAACTGCTCAATTAAAAGAAAGGTTAAACTCTGTGAGTGGAACGCACACATCACAAAGTAGTTTCTGAGAATGATTTTGTCTAGTTTTAATACAAAGATATTTCCTTTCCTACCATTGTCCTCGAAGAGCTTGAAATCTGCACTAGCAAATTACACAAAAAGAGTGTTTCAAATGTGCTCTCTCTAAAGGAAGGTTCAAATCTCTGAGTTGAATGCACACAACACAAAGAAGTGACTGGGAATTCTTCTGTCTAGCATTATAGGAGGAAATCCCGTTTCCAACGAAGGCCTCAAAGAGGTCCTAATATCCACTTGCAGACTTTACAAAGACAGCGTTTCCAAACTGCTCTATGAAAAGAAACGTTAAACTGTGTGAGTTGAACGCACACATCACAAACTAGTTTCTGCGAATGATTCTGTGTAGTTTTAATTCGAAGATATTTCCATTTCTAAGATTGGCCTCAAATCCCTTGAAATCTCCACTTGCAAATTCCACAAAAAGAGTGTTTCAAAACTGCTCTGAATATAGGAAGGTTCAACTCTGTGAGTTGAATGCACACAACAGAAAGTAGTAACAGAATTCTTCTGTCGGGCAGTATATGAAGAAATCCCGTTTGCAACGAAGGCCTCACAGAAATCTAAATATCCACTTGCAGACCTTACAGACAGACTCTTTCCAAACTTCTCTATGAAAAGAAAGGTTAATCTCCGTGAGTTGCACGCACACATCACAAAGTAGATTCTGAGAACGATTCTGTCTAGTTTTTATACGAAGATATTTCCTTTTCTACCATTGGCCTCAAATCGCTTGAAATCTTTACTTGCAAAAGCCACGAAAAGAGCGTTTCAAATCTGCTCGGTCTAAAGAAAGGTTCAAATCTGTGAGTTGAATACACACAACACAAAGTAGTTACTGAAAATTCTTCGGGCTAGCAGTATATGGAGAAATCCCGTTTCCAAAGAAGGCCTGAAAGAGGTCCAAATATCCGCTTGCAGACTTTACAAAAAGAGTGCTTCCAAACTGCTCTATGAAAAGAAAGTTTAAAATCTGTGAGTTGAACGCACAAATCACAGAGCAGTTTCTGAGAATTGTTCTGTCTAGTTTTTATACGAAGATATTTCCTTTTTTACAATTGGCCTCAAATCGCTTGAAATCTCCACTTGCAAAAGCAACGAAAGGAGAGTTTCAAATCTGCTCGGTCTAAAGAAAGGTTCAACGCTGTGAATTGCATACACACAACCAAAAGAAGTTACTGAGAATTCTTCGGTCTAGCAGTATATGAAGAAATCCCGTTTCCAACGAAGGCCTCAAAAAGGTCCAAATATCTGCTTGCAGACTTTACAAAGAGAGTGCTTCCAACCTGCTCTATGAAAAGAAAGGTTAAACTCTGTGAGTTGAACGCACACATCACAAAGAAGTTTCTGAGAATGATTCTGTTTAGTTATTATACGAAGATATTTTCTTTTCTACCATTGGCCTCCAATGACTTGAAATCTCCTCTGGCAAAACCCATGAAAAGAGAGTATCAAATCTGCTCTGTCTAAAGAAAAGTTCAACTGCTGTGAGTTGAATACACACAGCACAAAGAAGTTACTGAGTATTCTTCTGTCTAGCATTATATGAAGAAGTCCCGTTTCCAACGAAGGGCTCAAAGAGCTCCAAATATCCACTTGGAGACTTTACAAAGAGAGCGTTTCCAAACTGCTCTATGAAAAGAAACGTTAAACTCTGTGAGTTGAACGCACACATCACAAACTAGTTTCTGCGAACGATTCTGTGTAGTACTAATTCGAAGATATTTCCATTTCTAAGATTGCCCTCAAATCGCTTGAAATCTCCACTTGCAAATTCCACAAAAAGAGTGTTTCAAAACTGCTCCTAATAAAGGAAGGTTTAACTCTGTGAGTTGAATACACACAACACAAAGAAGTTACTGAGAATTCTTCTGTCTGTGAGTATATGAAGAAATCCCGTTTGCAACGCAAGGCCTCACAGAAATCTAACTATCCACTTGCAGACCTTACAGACAGAGTCTTAACAAACTGCTCTATGAAAAGAAAGGTTAATCTCCGTGAGTTGCACACACACATCAGAAAGTAATTTCTGAGAATGATTCTCTCTAGTTTTTATACGAAGATATTTCCTTTTCTACCATTGGCCTCAAATCGTTTGAAACCTCCACATGCAAAAGCCACGAAAAGAGCGTTTCAAATCTGCTCTGTCTAAAGAAAGGTTCAAATCTGTGAGTTGAATACACACAACACAAAGTAGTTACTGAAAATGCTTCGGTCTAGCAGTATATGGAGAAATCCCGTTTCCAACGAAGGGCTCAAAGAAGTCCAAATATCCACTTGCAGACCTTACAAAAATAGTGTTTCCAAACTGCTCAATTAAAAGAAAGGTTAAACTCTGTGAGTGGAACGCACACATCACAAAGTAGTTTCTGAGAATGAGTTTGTCTAGTTTTCATACGAAGATATTTCCTTTTCTACCATTGTCCTCGAAGAGCTTGAAATCTGCACTAGCAAATTACACAAAAAGAGTGTTTCAAATGTGCTCTCTCTAAAGGAAGGTTCAAATCTCTGAGTTGAATGCACACAACACAAAGAAGTGACTGAGAATACTTCTGTCTAGCATTATAGGAAGAAATCCCGTTTCCAATGAAGGCCTCAAAGAGGTCCAAATATCCACTTGCAGACTTTACAAATAGAGTGTTTCCAAACTGCTCTATGAAAAGAAAGGTTAAACTCTGTGAGTTGAACGCACACATCACAAGGTTGTATCTCAGAATGACACTGTCTAGTTTTTATACAAAGATATTTCCATTTCTAAGACTGGCCTCAAATCCCTAGAAATCTCCATTGGAAATTGCACAAACAGAGTGTTTGAAAACTGCTCTTTCTAAAGGAAGGTTCAACTCTGTTAGTTGAATACACACAACACAAAAAAGTTACTGAGAATTCTTCTATCTAGCATTATATGAAGAAATCCCGTTTCCAACGAAGGCCTCAAAGAGGTCCAAATATCCTACTGCAGACTTTACAATGAGAGTGTTTCCAAACTGCTCAATTAAAAGAAAGGTTAAACTCTGTGAGTGGAACGCACACATCACAAAGTAGTTTCTGAGAATGATTTTGTCTAGTTTTAATACGAAGATATTTCCTTTCCTACCATTGTCCTCGAAGAGCTTGAAATCTGCACTAGCAAATTACACAAAAAGAGTGTTTTAAACGTGCTCTCTCTAAAGGAAGGTTCAAATCTCTGAGTTGAATGCACACAACACAAAGAAGTGACTGGGAATTCTTCTGTCCAGCATTATAGGAGGAAATCCCGTTTCCAACGAAGGCCTCAAAGAGGTCCTAATATCCACTTGCAGACTTTACAAAGACAGCGTTTCCAAACTGCTCTATGAAAAGAAACGTTAAACTCTGTGAGTTGAACGCACACATCACAAACTAGTTTCTGCGAATGATTCTGTGTAGTTTTAATTTGAAGATATTTCCATTTCTAAGATTGGCCTCAAATCCCTTGAAATCTCCACTTGCAAATTCCACAAAAAGAGTGTTTCAAAACTGCTCTGAATAAAGGAAGGTTCAACTCTGTGAGTTGAATGCACACAGCAGAAAGTAGTAACTGGGAATTCTTCTGTCGGGCAGTATATGAAGAAATCCCGTTTGCAACGAAGGCCTCACAGAAATCTAAATATCCACTTGCAGACCTTACAGACAGACTCTTTCCAAACTTCTCTATGAAAAGAAAGGTTAATCTCCGTGAGTTGCACGCACACATCACAAAGTAGATTCTGAGAACGATTCTGTCTAGTTTTTATACGAAGATATTTCCTTTTCTACCATTGGCCTCAAATCGCTTGAAATCTTTACTTGCAAAAGCCACGAAAAGAGCGTTTCAAATCTGCTCTGTCTAAAGAAAGGTTCAAATCTGTGAGTTGAATACACACAACACAAAGTAGTTACTGAAAATGCTTCGGGCTAGCAGTATATGGAGAAATCCCGTTTCCAAAGAAGGCCTGAAAGAGGTCCAAATATCCGCTTGCAGACTTTACAAAAAGAGTGTTTCCAAACTGCTCTATGAAAAGAAAGTTTAAAATCTGTGAGTTGAACGCACAAATCACAGAGCTGTTTCTGAGAACTGTTCTGTCTAGTTTTTATACGAAGATATTTCCTTTTCTACAATTGGCCTCAAATCGCTTGAAATCTCCACTTGCAAAAGCAACGAAAGGAGAGTTTCAAATCTGCTCTGTCTAAAGAAAGGTTCAACTCTGTGAATTGAATACACACAACCCAAAGAAGTTACTGAGAATTCTTCGGTCTAGCAGTATATGAAGAAATCCCGTTTCCAACGAAGGCCTCGAAAAGGTCCAAATATCTGCTTGCAGACTTTACAAAGAGAGTGCTTCCAACCTGCTCTATGAAAAGAATGGTTAAATTCTGTGAGTTGAATGCACACATCACAAAGAAGTTTCTGAGAATGATTCTGTTTAGTTATTATACGAAGATATTTTCTTTTCTACCATTGGCCTCCAATGACTTGAAATCTCCTCTGGCAAAAGCCACGAAAAGAGAGTATCAAATCTGCTCTGTCTAAAGAAAAGTTCAACTCTGTGAGTTGAATACACACAGCACAAAGAAGTTACTGAGTATTCTTCTGTCTAGCATTATATGAAGAAGTCCCGTTTCCAACGAAGGGCTCAAACAGCTCCAAATATCCACTTGGAGACTTTACAAAGAGAGCGTTTCCAAACTGCTCTATGAAAAGAAACGTTAAACTCTGTGAGTTGAACGCACACATCACAAACTAGTTTCTGCGAACGATTTCTGTGTAGTTTTAATTCGAAGATATTTCCATTTCTAAGATTGGCCTCAAATCCCTTGAAATCTCCACTTGCAAATTCCACAAAAAGAGTGTTTCAAAACTGCTCTGAATAAAGGAAGGTTCAACTCCGTGAGTTGAATGCACACAACACAAAGAGTTACTGAGAATTCTTCTGTCTGTGAGTATATGAAGAAATCCCGTTTGCAACGAAGGCCTCCCAGAAATCTAAATATCCACTTGCAGACCTTACAGACAGAGTCTTTCCAAACTGCTCTATGAAAAGAAAGGTTAATCTCCGTGAGTTGCACACACACATCAGAAAGTAATTTCTGAGAATGATTCTCTCTAGTTTTTATACGAAGATATTTCCTTTTCTACCATTGGCCTCAAATCGTTTGAAACCTCCACATGCAAAAGCCACGAAAAGAGCGTTTCAAATCTGCTCTGTCTAAAGAAAGGTTCAAATCTGTGAGTTGAATACACACAACACAAAGTAGTTACTGAAAATGCTTCGGTCTAGCAGTATATGGAGAAATCCCGTTTCCAACGAAGGGCTCAAAGAAGTCTAAATATCCACTTGCAGACTTTACAAAAATAGTGTTTCCAAACTGCTCAATTAAAAGAAAGGTTAAACTCTGTGAGTGGAACGCACACATCACAAAGTAGTTTCTGAGAATGATTTTGTCTAGTTTTCATACGAAGATATTTCCTTTTCTACCATTGTCCTCGAAGAGCTTGAAATCTGCACTAGCAAATTACACAAAAAGAGTGTTTCAAATGTGTTCTCTCTAAAGGAAGGTTCAAATCTCTGAGTTGAATGCACACAACACAAAGAAGTGACTGAGAATACTTCTGTCTAGCATTATAGGAAGAAATCCCGTTTCCAACGAAGGCCTCAAAGAGGTCCAAATATCCACTTGCAGACTTTACAAATAGAGTGTTTCCAAACTGCTCTATGAAAAGAAAGGTTAAACTCTGTGAGTTGAACGCACACATCACAAGGTAGTATCTCAGAATGACACCTGTCTAGTTTTTATACAAAGATATTTCCATTTCTAAGACTGGCCTCAAATCCCTAGAAATCTCCATTGGAAATTGCACAAACAGAGTGTTTGAAAACTGCTCTTTCTAAAGGAAGTTTCAACTCTGTTAGTTGAATACACACAACACAAACAAGTTACTGAGAACTCTTCTATCTAGCATTATATGAAGAAATCCCGTTTCCAACGAAGGCCTCAAAGAGGTCCAAATATCCTACTACAGACCTTACAAAGAGAGTGTTTCCAAACTGCTCAATTAAAAGAAAGGTTAAACTCTGTGAGTGGAACGCACACATCACAAAGTAGTTTCTGAGAATGATTTTGTCTAGTTTTCATACGAAGATATTTCCTTTCCTACCATTGTCCTCGAAGAGCTTGAAATCTGCAATAGAAAATTACACAAAAAGAGTGTTTCAAATGTGCTCTCTCTAAAGAAAGGTTCAAATCTCTGAGTTGAATGCACACAACACAAAGAAGTGACTGGGAATTCTTCTGTCTAGCATTATAGGAGGAAATCCCGTTTCCAACGAAGGCCTCAAAGAGGTCCTAATATCCACTTGCAGACTTTACAAAGACAGCGTTTCCAAACTGCTCTATGAAAAGAAACCTTAAACTCTGTGAGTTGAGCGCACACATCACAAACTAGTTTCTGCGAATGATTCTGTGTAGTTTTAATTCGAAGATATTTCCATTTCTAAGATTGGCCTCAAATCCCTTGAAATCTCCAGTTGCAAATTCCACAAAAAGAGTGTTTCAAAACTGCTCTGAATAAAGGAAGGTTCAACTCTGTGAGTTGAATGCACACAACACAAAGTAGTTACTGAGAATTCTTCTGTCTGTGAGTATATGAAGAAATCCCATTTGCAACGAAGGCCTCACAGAAATCTAAATATCCACTTGCAGACCTTACAGACAGAGTCTTTCCAAACTGCTCTATGAAAAGAAAGGTTCATCTCCGTGAGTTGCACGCACACATCAGAAAGTAATTTCTGAGAATGATTCTGTCTAGTTTTTAAACGAAGATATTTCCTTTTCTACCATTGGCCTCAAATCGTTTGAAACCTCCACATGCAAAAGCCACGAGAAGAGCGTTTCAAATCTGCTCTGTCTAAAGAAAGGTTCAAATCTGTGAGTTGAATACACACAACACAAAGTAGTTACTGAAAATTCTTCGGTCTAGCAGTATATGGAGAAATCCCGTTTCCAACGAAGGGCTCAAAGAAGTCCAAATATCCACTTGCAGACTTTACAAAAATAGTGTTTCCAAACTGCTCAATTAAAAGAATGGTTAAACTCTGTGAGTGGAATGCACACATATCACAAAGTAGTTTCTGAGAATGAGTTTGTCTAGTTTTCAAACGAAGATATTTCCTTTTCTACCATTGTCCTCGAAGAGCTTGAAATCTGCACTAGCAAATTACACAAAAAGAGTGTTTCAAATGTGCTCTCTCTAAAGGAAGGTTCAAATCTCTGAGTTGAATGCACACAACACAAAGAAGTGACTGAGAATACTTCTGTCTAGCATTATAGGAAGAAATCCCGTTTCCAACGAAGGCCTCAAAGAGGTCCAAATATCCACTTGCAGACTTTACAAATAGAGTGTTTCCAAACTGCTCTATGAAAAGAAAGGTTAAACTCTGTGAGTGGAACGCACACATCACAAGGTAGTATCTCAGAATGACACTGTTTAGTTTTTATACAAAGATAATTCCATTTCTAAGACTGGCCTCAAATCCCTAGAAATCTCCATTGGAAATTGCACAAACAGAGTGTTTGAAAACTGCTCTTTCTAAAGGAAGGTTCAACTCTGTTAGTTGAATACACACAACACAAACAAGTCACTGAGAATTCTTCTATCTAGCATTATATGAAGAAATCCTGTTTCCAACAAAGGCCTCAAAGAGGTCCAAATATCCTACTGCAGACTTTACAAAGAGAGTGTTTCCAAACTGCTCAATTAAAAGAAAGGTGAAACTCTGTGAGTGGAACGCACACATCACAAAGTAGTTTCTGAGAATGATTTTGTCTAGTTTTAATACAAAGATATTTCCTTTCCTACCATTGTCCTCGAAGAGCTTGAAATCTGCACTAGCAAATTACACAAAAAGAGTGTTTCAAATGTGCTCTCTCTAAAGGAAGGTTCAAATCTCTGAGTTGAATGCACACAACACAAAGAAGTGACTGGGAATTCTTCTGTCTAGCATTATAGGAGGAAATCCCGTTTCCAACGAAGGCCTCAAAGAGGTCCTAATATCCACTTGCAGACTTTACAAAGACAGCGTTTCCAAACTGCTCTATGAAAAGAAACCTTAAACTCTGTGAGTTGAACGCACACATCACAAACTAGTTTCTGCGAATGATTCTGTGTAGTTTTAATTCGAAGATATTTCCATTTCTAAGATTGGCCTCAAATCCCTTGAAATCTCCACTTGCAAATTCCACAAAAAGTGTGTTTCAAAACTGCTCTGAATAAAGGAAGGTTCAACTCTGTGAGTTGAATGCACACAACACAAAGTAGTTACTGAGAATTCTTCTGTCTGTGAGTATATGAAGAAATCCCGTTTGCAACGAAGGCCTCACAGAAATCTAAATATCCACTTGCAGACCTTACAGACAGAGTCTTTCCAAACTGCTCTATGAAAAGAAAGGTTAATCTCCGTGAGTTGCACGCACACATCACAAAGTAATTTCTGAGAATGATTCTCTCTAGTTTTTATACGAAGATATTTCCTTTTCTACCATTGGCCTCAAATCGTTTGAAACCTCCACATGCAAAAGCCACGAAAAGAGCGTTTCAAATCTGCTCTGTCTAAAGAAAGGTTCAAATCTGTGAGTTGAATACACACAACACAAAGTAGTTACTGAAAATGCTTCGGTGTAGCAGTATATGGAGAAATCCCGTTTTCAACGAAGGGCTCAAAGAAGTCCAAATATCCACTTGCAGACTTTACAAAAATAGTGTTTCCAAACTGCTCAATTAAAAGAAAGGTTAAACTCTGTGAGTGGAACGCACACATCACAAAGTAGTTTCTGAGAATGAGTTTGTCTAGTTTTCATACGAAGATATTTCCTTTTCTACCATTGTCCTCGAAGAGCTTGAAATCTGTACTAGCAAATTACACAAATAGAGTGTTTCAAATGTGCTCTCTCTAAAGGAAGGTTCAAATCTCTGAGTTGAATGCACACAACACAAAGAAGTGACTGAGAATACTGCTGTCTAGCATTACAGGAAGAAATCCCGTTTCCAAAGAAGGCCTCAAAGAGGTCCAAATATCCACTTGCAGACTTTACAAATAGAGTGTTTCCAAACAGCTCTATGAAAAGAAAGGTTAAACTCTGTGAGTTGAACACACACATCACAAGGTAGTATCTCAGAATGACACTGTTTAGTTTTTATACAAAGATAATTCCATTTCTAAGACTGGCCTCAAATCCCTAGAAATCTCCATTGGAAATTGCACAAACAGAGTGTTTGAAAACTGCTCTTTCTAAAGGAAGGTTCAACTCTGTTAGTTGAATACACACAACACAAACAAGTCACTGAGAATTCTTCTATCTAGCATTATATGAAGAAATCCCGTTTCCAACGAAGGCCTCAAAGAGGTCCAAATATCCTACTGCAGACTTTACAAAGAGAGTGTTTCCAAACTGCTCAATTAAAAGAAAGGTTAAACTCTGTGAGTGGAACGCACACATCACAAAGTAGTTTCTGAGAATGATTTTGTCTAGTTTTAATACGAAGATATTTCCTTTCCTACCATTGTCCTCGAAGAGCTTGAAATCTGCACTAGCAAATTACACAAAAAGAGTGTTTTAAATGTGCTCTCTCTAAAGGAAGGTTCAAATCTCTGAGTTGAATGCCCACAACACAAAGAAGTGACTGGGAATTCTTCTGTCTAGCATTATAAGAGGAAATCCCGTTTCCAACGAAGGCCTCAAAGAGGTACTAATATCCACTTGCAGACTTTACAAAGACAGCGTTTCCAAACTGCTCTATGAAAAGAAACGTTAAACTCTGTGAGTTGAACGCACACATCACAAACTAGTTTCTGCGAATGATTCTGTGTAGTTTTAATTCGAAGATATTTCCATTTCTAAGATTGGCCTCAAATCCCTTGAAATCTCCACTTGCAAATTCCACAAAAAGAGTGTTTCAAAACTGCTCTGAATAAAGGAAGGTTCAACTCTGTGAGTTGAATGCACACAGCAGAAAGTAGTAACTGAGAATTCTTCTGTTGGGCAGTATATGAAGAAATCCCGTTTGCAACGAAGGCCTCACAGAAATCTAAATATCCACTTGCAGACCTTACAGACAGAGTGTTTCCAAACTTCTCTATGAAAAGAAAGGTTAATCTCCGTGAGTTGCATGCATACATCACAAAGTAGATTCTGAGAATGATTCTGTCTAGTTTTTATACGAAGATATTTCCTTTTCTACCATTGGCCTCAAATCGCTTGAAATCTTTACTTGCAAAAGCCACGAAAAGAGCGTTTCAAATCTGCTCTGTCTAAAGAAAGGTTCAAATCTGTGAGTTGAATACACACAACACAAAGTAGTTACTGAAAATTCTTCGGGCTAGCAGTATATGGAGAAATCCCGTTTCCAAAGAAGGCCTGAAAGAGGTCCAAATATCCGCTTGCAGACTTTACAAAAAGAGTGTTTCCAAACTGCTCTATGAAAAGAAAGTTTAAAATCTGTGAGTTGAACGCAAAAATCACAGAGCAGTTTCTGAGAATTGTTCTGTCTAGTTTTTATACGAAGATATTTCCTTTTCTACAATTGGCCTCAAATCGCTTGAAATCTCCACTTGCAAAAGCAACGAAAGGAGAGTTTCAAATCTGCTCGGTCTAAAGAAAGGTTCAACTCTGTGAATTGAATACACACAACCCAAAGAAGTTACTGAGAATTCTTCGGTCTAGCAGTATATGAAGAAATCCCGTTTCCAACGAAGGCCTCAAAGATGTCCAAATATCCACTTACAGACTTTACAGACAGAGTCTATCCAAACTGCTGTATGCAAACAAAGGTTAATCTCTGTGAGTTGCACGCACACATCACAGAGTAGTTTCTGAGAATTGTTCTGTTTAGTTATTATACGAAGATATTTTCTTTCCAACCATTGGCCTCCAATGACTTGAAATCTCCTCTGGCAAAAGCCACGAAAAGAGAGTATCAAATCTGCTCTGTCTAAAGAAAAGTTCAACTCTGTGAGTTGAATACACACAGCACAAAGAAGTTACTGAGTATTCTTCTGTCTAGCATTATATGAAGAAGTCCCGTTTCCAACGAAGGGCTCAAAGAGCTCCAAATATCCACTTGGAGACTTTACAAAGAGAGCGTTTCCAAACTGCTCTATGAAAAGAAACGTTAAACTCTGTGAGTTGAACGCACACATCACAAACTAGTTTCTGCGAACGATTCTGTGTAGTTTTAATTCGAAGATATTTCCATTTCTAAGATTGGCCTCAAATCCCTTGAAATCTCCACTTGCAAATTCCACAAAAAGTGTGTTTCAAAACTGCTCTGAATAAAGGAAGGTTCAACACTGTGAGTTGAATGCACACAACACAAAGTAGTTACTGAGAATTCTTCTGTCTGTGAGTATATGAAGAAATCCCGTTTGCAACGAAGGCCTCACAGAAATCTAAATATCCACTTGCAGACCTTACAGACAGAGTCTTTCCAAACTGCTCTATGAAAAGAAAGGTTAATCTCCGTGAGTTGCACGCACACATCAGAAAGTAATTTCTGAGAATGATTCTCTCTAGTTTTTATACGAAGATATTTCCTTTTCTACCATTGGCCTCAAATCGTTTGAAACCTCCACATGCAAAAGCCACGAAAAGAGCGTTTCAAATCTGCTCTGTCTAAAGAAAGGTTCAAATCTGTGAGTTGAATACACACAACACAAAGTAGTTACTGAAAATGCTTCAGTCTAGCAGTATATGGAGAAATCCCGTTTCCAACGAAGGGCTCAAAGAAGTCCAAATATCCACTTGCAGACTTTACAAAAATAGTGTTTCCAAACTGCTCAATTAAAAGAAAGGTTAAACTCTGTGAGTGGAACGCACACATCACAAAGTAGTTTCTGGGAATGATTTTGTCTAGTTTTAATACGAAGATATTTCCTTTCCTACCATTGTCCTCGAAGAGCTTGAAATCTGCACTAGCAAATTACACAAAAAGAGTGTTTCAAATGTGCTCTCTCTAAAGGAAGGTTCAAATCTCTGAGTTGAATGCACACAACACAAAGAAGTGACTGAGAATACTTCTGTCTAGCATTATAGGAAGAAATCCCGTTTCCAACGAAGGCCTCAAAGAGGTCCAAATATCCACTTGCAGACTTTACAAATAGAGTGTTTCCAAACTGCTCTGTGAAAAGAAAGGTTAAACTCTGTGAGTTGAACGCACACATCACAAGGTAGTATCTCAGAATGACACTGTCTAGTTTTTATACAAAGATATTTCCATTTCTAAGACTGGCCTCAAATCCCTAGAAATCTCCATTGGAAATTGCACAAACAGAGTGTTTGAAAACTGCTCTTTCTAAAGGAAGGTTCAACTCTGTTAGTTGAATACACACAACACAAACAAGTTACTGAGAACTCTTCTATCTAGCATTATATGAAGAAATCCCGTTTCCAACGAAGGCCTCAAAGAGGTCCAAATATCCTACTGCAGACTTTACAAAGAGAGTGTTTCCAAACTGCTCAATTAAAAGAAAGGTTAAACTCTGTGAGTGGAACGCACACATCACAAAGTAGTTTCTGAGAATGATTTTGTCTAGTTTTCATACGAAGATATTTCCTTTCCTACCATTGTCCTCGAAGAGCTTGAAATCTGCACTAGCAAATTACACAAAAAGAGTGTTTTAAATGTGCTCTCTCTAAAGGAAGGTTCAAATCTCTGAGTTGAATGCAGACAACACAAAGAAGTGACTGGGAATTCTTCTGTCTAGCATTATAGGGGGAAATCCCGTTTCCAACGAAGGCCTGAAAGAGGTCCTAATATCCACTTGCAGACTTTACAAAGACAGCGTTTCCAAACTGCTCTATGAAAAGAAACGTTAAACTCTGTGAGTTGAACGCACACATCACAAACTAGTTTCTGCGAATGATTCTGTGTAGTTTTAATTCGAAGATATTTCCATTTCTAAGATTGGCCTCAAATCCCTTGAAATTTCCACTTGCAAATTCCACAAAAAGAGTGTTTCAAAACTGCTCTGAATATAGGAAGGTTCAACTCTGTGAGTTGAATGCACACAACAGAAAGTAGTAACAGAATTCTTCTGTCTGTGAGTATATGAAGAAATCCCGTTTGCAACGAAGGCCTCACAGAAATCTAAATATCCACTTGCAGACCTTACAGACAGAGTGTTTCCAAACTTCTCTATGAAAAGAAAGCTTAATCTCCGTGAGTTGCACGCACACATCACAAAGTAGATTCTGAGAATGATTCCGTCTAGTTTTTATACGAAGATATTTCCTTTTCTACCATTGGCCTCAAATCGCTTGAAATCTTTACTTGCAAAAGCCACGAAAAGAGCGTTTCAAATCTGCTCTGTCTAAAGAAAGGTTCAAATCTGTGAGTTGAATACACGCAACACAAAGTAGTTACTGAAAATGCTTCGGGCTAGCAGCATATGGAGAAATCCCGTTTCCAAAGAAGGCCTGAAAGAGGTCAAAATATCCGCTTGCAGACTTTACAAAAAGAGTGTTTCCAAACTGCTCTATGAAAAGCAAGTTTAAAATCTGTGAGTTGAACGCACAAATCACAGAGCAGTTTCTGAGAATTGTTCTGTCTAGTTTTTATACGAAGATATTTCCTTTTCTACAATTGGCCTCAAATCGCTTGAAATCTCCACTTGCAAAAGCAACGAAAGGAGAGTTTCAAATCTGCTCGGTCTAAAGAAAGGTTCAACTCTGTGAATTGAATACACACAACCCAAAGAAGTTACTGAGAATTCTTCGGTCTAGCCGTATATGAAGAAATCCCGTTTCCAACGAAGGCCTCAAAAAGGTCCAAATATCTGCTTGCAGACTTTACAAAGAGAGTGCTTCCAACCTGCTCTATGAAAAGAAAGGTTAAACTCTGTGAGTTGAACGCACACATCACAAAGAAGTTTCTGAGAATGATTCTGTTTAGTTATTATACGAAGATATTTTCTTTTCTACCATTGGCCTCCAATGACTTGAAATCTCCTCTGGCAAAAGCCACGAAAAGAGAGTATCAAATCTGCTCTGTCTAAAGAAAAGTTCAACTCTGTGAGTTGAATACACACAGCACAAAGAAGTTACTGAGTATTCTTCTGTCTAGCATTATATGAAGAAGTCCCGTTTCCAACGAAGGGCTCAAACAGCTCCAAATATCCACTTGGAGACTTTACAAAGAGAGCGTTTCCAAACTGCTCTATGAAAAGAAACGTTAAACTCTGTGAGTTGAACGCACACATCACAAACTAGTTTCTGCGAACGATTCTGTGTAGTTTTAATTCGAAGATATTTCCATTTCTAAGATTGGCCTCAAATCCCTTGAAATCTCCACTTGCAAATTCCACAAAAAGAGTGTTTCAAAACTGCTCTGAATAAAGGAAGGTTCAACTCCATGAGTTGAATGCACACAACACAAAGAGTTACTGAGAATTCTTCTGTCTGTGAGTATATGAAGAAATCCCGTTTGCAACGAAGGCCTCCCAGAAATCTAAATATCCACTTGCAGACCTTACAGACAGAGTCTTTCCAAACTGCTCTATGAAAAGAAAGGTTAATCTCCGTGAGTTGCACGCACACATCAGAAAGTAATTTCTGAGAATGATTCTCTCTAGTTTTTATACGAAGATATTTCCTTTTCTACCATTGGCCTCAAATCGTTTGAAACCTCCACATGCAAAAGCCACGAAAAGAGCGTTTCAAATCTGCTCTGTCTAAAGAAAGGTTCAAATCTGTGAGTTGAATACACACAACACAAAGTAGTTACTGAAAATGCTTCGGTCTAGCAGTATATGGAGAAATCCCGTTTCCAACGAAGGGCTCAAAGAAGTCCAAATATCCACTTGCAGACTTTACAAAAATAGTGTTTCCAAACTGCTCAATTAAAAGAAAGGTTAAACTCTGTGAGTGGAACGCACACATCACAAAGTAGTTTCTGAGAATGAGTTTGTCTAGTTTTCATACGAAGATATTTCCTTTTCTACCATTGTCCTCGAAGAGCTTGAAATCTGCACTAGCAAATTACACAAAAAGAGTGTTTCAAATGTGTTCTCTCTAAAGGAAGGTTCAAATCTCTGAGTTGAATGCACACAACACAAAGAAGTGACTGAGAATACTTCGGGCTAGCAGTATATGGAGAAATCCCGTTTCCAAAGAAGGCCTGAAAGAGGTCCAAATATCCGCTTGCAGACTTTACAAAAAGAGTGTTTCCAAACTGCTCTATGAAAAGAAAGGTTAAACTCTGTGAGTTGAACGCACACATCACAAGGTAGTATCTCAGAATGACACTGTCTAGTTTTTATACAAAGATATTTCCATTTCTAAGACTGGCCTCAAATCCCTAGAAATCTCCTTTGGAAATTGCACAAACAGAGTGTTTGAAAACTGCTCTTTCTATAAGGAAGGTTCAACTCTGTTAGTTGAATACACACAACACAAACAAGTTACTGAGAATTCTTCTATCTAGCATTATATGAAGAAATCCCGTTTCCAACGAAGGCCTCAAAGAGTTCCAAATATCCTACTGCAGACTTTACAAAGAGAGTGTTTCCAAACTGCTCAATGAAAAGAAAGGTTAAACTCTGTGAGTGGAACGCACACATCACAAAGTAGTTTCTGAGAATGATTTTGTCTAGTTTTAATACAAAGATATTTCCTTTCCTACCATTGTCCTCGAAGAGCTTGAAATCTGCACTAGCAAATTACACAAAAAGAGTGTTTCAAATGTGCTCTCTCTAAAGGAAGGTTCAAATCTCTGAGTTGAATGCACACAACACAAAGAAGTGACTGGGAATTCTTCTGTCTAGCATTATAGGAGGAAATCCCGTTTCCAACGAAGGCCTCAAAGAGGTCCTAATATCCACTTGCAGACTTTACAAAGACAGCGTTTCCAAACTGCTCTATGAAAAGAAACGTTAAACTTCTGTGAGTTGAACGCACACATCACAAACTAGTTTCTGCGAATGATTCTGTGTAGTTTTAATTCGAAGATATTTCCATTTCTAAGATTGGCCTCAAATCCCTTGAAATCTCCACTTGCAAATTCCACAAAAAGAGTGTTTCAAAACTGCTCTGAATAAAGGAAGGTTCAACTCTGTGAGTTGAATGCACACAGCAGAAAATAGTAACTGGGAATTCTTCTGTCTAGCAGTATATGAAGAAATCCCGTTTCCAACGAAGGCCTCTAAGAAGTCCAAATATCCACTTGCAGACTTTACAGACAGAGTCTTTCCAAACTGCTCTATGAAAAGAAAGGTTAACCTCTCCGAGTTGCACGCGCACATCACAAAGTCGTTTCTGAGAATGATTCTGTCTAGTTTTTATACGAAGATATTTCCTTTTCTACCATTGGCCTCAAATCGCTTGAAATCTTTACTTGCAAAAGCCACGAAAAGAGCGTTTCAAATCTGCTCTGTCTAAAGAAAGGTTCAAATCTGTGAGTTGAATACACACAACACAAAGTAGTTACTGAAAATTCTTCGGGCTAGCAGTATATGGAGAAATCCCGTTTCCAAAGAAGGCCTGAAAGAGGTCCAAATATCCGCTTGCAGACTTTACAAAAAGAGTGTTTCCAAACTGCTCTATGAAAAGAAAGTTTAAAATCTGTGAGTTGAACGCTCAAATCACAGAGCAGTTTCCGAGAATTGTTCTGTCTAGTTTTTATACGAAGATATTTCCTTTTCTACAATTGGCCTCAAATCGCTTGAAATCTCCACTTGCAAAAGCAACGAAAGGAGAGTTTCAAATCTGCTCGGTCTAAAGAAAGGTTCAACTCTGTGAATTGAATACACACAACCTAAAGAAGTTACTGAGAATTCTTTGGTGTAGCAGTATATGAAGAAATCCCGTTTCCAACGAAGGCCTCAAAAGGGTCCAAATATCTGCTTGCAGACTTTACAAAGAGAGTGCTTCCAACCTGCTCTATGAAAACAAAGGTTAAACTCTGTGAGTTGAACGCACACATCACAAAGAAGCTTCTGAGAATGATTCTGTTTAGTTATTATACGAAGATATTTTCTTTTCTACCATTGGCCTCCAATGACTTGAAATCTCCTCTGGCAAAAGCCACGAAAAGAGAGTATCAAATCTGCTCTGTCTAAAGAAAAGTTCAACTCTGTGAGTTGAATACACACAGCACAAAGAAGTTACTGAGTATTCTTCTGTCTAGCATTATATGAAGAAGTCCCGTTTCCAACGAACGGCTCAAACAGCTCCAAATATCCACTTGGAGACTTTACAAAGAGAGCGTTTCCAAACTGCTCTATGAAAAGAAACGTTAAACTCTGTGAGTTGAACGCACACATCACAAACTAGTTTCTGCGAACGATTCTGTGTAGTTTTAATTCGAAGATATTTCCATTTCTAAGATTGGCCTCAAATCCCTTGAAATCTCCACTTGCAAATTCCACAAAAAGAGTGTTTCAAAACTGCTCTGAATAAAGGAAGGTTCAACTCCGTGAGTTGAATGCACACAACACAAAGAGTTACTGAGAATTCTTCTGTCTGTGAGTATATGAAGAAATCCCGTTTGCAACGAACGCCTCACAGAAATCTAAATATCCACTTGCAGACCTTACAGACAGAGTCTTTCCAAACTGCTCTATGAAAAGAAAGGTTAATCTCCGTGAGTTGCACGCACACATCAGAAAGTAATTTCTGAGAATGATTCTCTCTAGTTTTTATACGAAGATATTTCCTTTTCTACCATTGGCCTCAAATCGTTTGAAACCTCCACATGCAAAAGCCACGAAAAGAGCGTTTCAAATCTGCTCTGTCTAAAGAAAGGTTCAAATCTGTGAGTTGAATACACACAACACAAAGTAGTTACTGAAAATGCTTCTGTCTAGCATTATATGAAGAAGTCCCCTTTCCAACGAAGGGCTCAAAGCAAGTCCAAATATCCACTTGCAGACTTTACAAAAATAGTGTTTCCAAACAGCTCAATTAAAAGAAAGGTTAAACTCTGTGAGTGGAACGCACACATCACAAAGTAGTTTCTGAGAATGAGTTTGTCTAGTTTTCATACGAAGATATTTCCTTTTCTACCATTGTCCTCGAAGAGCTTGAAATCTGCACTAGCAAATTACACAAAAAGAGTGTTTCAAATGTGCTCTCTCTAAAGGAAGGTTCAAATCTTTGAGTTGAATGCACACAACACAAAGAAGTGACTGAGAATACTTCTGTCTAACATTATAGGAAGAAATCGCGTTTCCAACGAAGGCCTCAAAGAGGTCCAAATATCCACTTGCAGACTTTACAAATAGAGTGTTTCCAAACTGCTCTATGAAAAGAAAGGTTAAACTCTGTGAGTTGAACGCACACATCACAAGGTAGTATCTCAGAATGACACTGTCTAGTTTTTATACAAAGATATTTCCATTTCTAAGACTGGCCTCAAATCCCTAGAAATCTCCATTGGAAATTGCACAAACAGAGTGTTTGAAAACTGCTCTTTCTAAAGGAAGGTTCAACTCTGTTAGTTGAATACACACAACACAAACAAGTTACTGAGAATTCTTCTATCTAGCATTATATGAAGAAATCCCGTTTCCAACGAAGGCCTCAAAGAGGTCCAAATATCCTACTGCAGACTTTACAAAGAGAGTGTTTCCAAACTGCTCAATTAAAGGAAAGGTTAAACTCTGTGAGTGGAACGCACACATCACAAAGTAGTTTCTGAGAATGATTTTGTCTAGTTTTAATACGAAGATATTTCCTTTCCTACCATTGTCCTCGAAGAGCTTGAAATCTGCACTAGCAAATTACACAAAAAGAGTGTTTTAAATGTGCTCTCTCTAAAGGAAGGTTCAAATCTCTGAGTTGAATGCACACAACACAAAGAAGTGACTGGGAATTCTTCTGTCTAGCATTATAGGAGGAAATCCCGTTTCCAACGAAGGCCTCAAAGAGGTCCTAATATCCACTTGCAGACTTTACAAAGACAGCGTTTCCAAACTGCTCTATGAAAAGAAACGTTAAACTCTGTGAGTTGAACGCACACATCACAAACTAGTTTCTGCGAATGATTCTGTGTAGTTTTAATTCGAAGATATTTCCATTTCTAAGATTGGCCTCAAATCCCTTGAAATCTTCACTTGCAAATTCCACAAAAAGAGTGTTTCAAAACTGCTCTGAATATAGGAAGGTTCAACTCTGTGAGTTGAATGCACACAACAGAAAGTAGTAACAGAATTCTTCTGTCGGGCAGTATATGAAGAAATCCCGTTTGCAACGAAGGCCTCACAGAAATCTAAATATCCACTTGCAGACCTTACAGACAGAGTGTTTCCAAACTTCTCTATGAAAAGAAAGGTTAATCTCCGTGAGTTGCACGCACACATCACAAAGTAGATTCTGAGAATGATTCTGTCTAGTTTTTATACGAAGATATTTCCTTTTCTACCATTGGCCTCAAATCGCTGGAAATCTTTACTTGCAAAAGCCACGAAAAGAGCGTTTCAAATCTGCTCTGTCTAAAGAAAGGTTCAAATCTGTGAGTTGAATACACACAACACAAAGTAGTTACTGAAAATGCTTCGGGCTAGCAGTATATGGAGAAATCCCGTTTCCAAAGAAGGCCTGAAAGAGGTCCAAATATCCGCTTGCAGACTTTACAAAAAGAGTTTTCCAAACTGCTCTATGAAAAGAAAGTTTAAAATCTGTGAGTTGAACTCACAAATCACAGAGCAGTTTCTGAGAATTGTTCTGTCTAGTTTTTATACGAAGATATTTCCTTTTCTACAATTGGCCTCAAATCGCTTGAAATCTCCACTTGCAAAAGCAACGAAAGGAGAGTTTCAAATCTGCTCGGTCTAAAGAAAGGTTCAACTCTGTGAATTGAATACACACAACCCAAAGAACTTACTGAGAATTCTTCGGTCTAGCAGTATATGAAGAAATCCCGTTTCCAACGAAGGCCTCAAAAAGGTCCAAATATCTGCTTGCAGACTTTACAAAGAGAGTGCTTCCAACCTGCTCTATGAAAAGAAAGGTTAAACTCTGTGAGTTGAATGCACACATCACAAAGAAGTTTCTGAGAATGATTCTGTTTAGTTATTATACGAAGATATTTTCTTTTCTACCATTGGCCTCCAATGAGTTGAAATCTCCTCTGGCAAAAGCCACGAAAAGAGAGTATCAAATCTGCTCTGTCTAAAGAAAAGTTCAACTCTGTGAGTTGAATACACACAGCACAAAGAAGTTACTGAGTATTCTTCTGTCTAGCATTATATGAAGAAGTCCCGTTTCCAACGAAGGGCTCAAACAGCTCCAAATATCCACTTGGAGACTTTACAAAGAGAGCGTTTCCAAACTGCTCTATGGAAAGAAACGTTAAGCTCTGTGAGTTGAACGCACACATCACAAACTAGTTTCTGCGAACGATTCTGTGTAGTTTTAATTCGAAGATATTTCCATTTCTAAGATTGGCCTCAAATCCCTTGAAATCTCCACTTGCAAATTCCACAAAAAGAGTGTTTCAAAACTGCTCTGAATAAAGGAAGGTTCAACTCCGTGAGTTGAATGCACACAACACAAAGAGTTACTGAGAATTCTTCTGTCTGTGAGTATATGAAGAAATCCCGTTTGCAACGAAGGCCTCACAGAAATCTAAATATCCACTTGCAGACCTTACAGACAGAGTCTTTCCAAACTGCTCTATGAAAAGAAAGGTTAATCTCCGTGAGTTGCACGCACACATCAGAAAGTAATTTCTGAGAATGATTCTCTCTAGTTTTTATACGAAGATATTTCCTTTTCTACCATTGGCCTCAAATCGTTTGAAACCTCCACATGCAAAAGCCACGAAAAGAGCGTTTCAAATCTGCTCTGTCTAAACAAAGGTTCAAATCTGTGAGTTGAATACACACAACACAAAGTAGTTACTGAAAATGCTTCGGTCTAGCAGTATATGGAGAAATCCCGTTTCCAACGAAGGGCTCAAAGAAGTCCAAATATCCACTTGCAGACTTACAAAAATAGTGTTTCCAAACTGCTCAATTAAAAGAAAGGTTAAACTCTGTGAGTGGAACGCACACATCACAAAGTAGTTTCTGAGAATGAGTTTGTCTAGTTTTCATACGAAGATATTTCCTTTTCTACCATTGTCCTCGAAGAGCTTGAAATCTGTACTAGCAAATTACACAAATAGAGTGTTTCAAATGTGCTCTCTCTAAAGGAAGGTTCAAATCTCTGAGTTGAATGCACACAACACAAAGAAGTGACTGAGAATATTTCTGTCTAGCAGTATATGAAGAAATCCCGTTTCCAACGAAGGCCTCTAAGATGTCCAAATATCCACTTGCAGACTTTACAGAGTCTTTCCAAACTGCTCTATGAAAAGAAAGGTTAACCTCTCTGAGTTGCACGGACACATCACAAAGTAGTTTCTCAGAATGATACTGTCTAGTTTTTATACAAAGATATTTCCATTTCTAAGACTGGCCTCAAATCCCTAGAAATCTCCATTGGAAATTGCACAAACAGAGTGTTTGAAAACTGCTCTTTCTAAAGGAAGGTTCAACTCTGTTAGTTGAATACACACAACACAAACAAGTTACTGAGAATTCTTCTATCTAGCATTATAAGAAGAAATCCCGTTTCCAACGAAGGCCTCAAAGAGGTCCAAATATCCTACTGCAGACTTTACAAAGAGAGTGTTTCCAAACTGCTCAATTAAAAGAAAGGTTAAAGTCTGTGAGTGGAACGCACACATCACAAAGTAGTTTCTGAGAATGATTTTGTCCAGTTTTAATACGAAGATATTTCCTTTCCTACCATTGTCCTCGAAGAGCTTGAAATCTGCACTAGCAAATTACACAAAAATAGTGTTTTAAATGTGCTCTCTCTAAAGGAAGGTTCAAATCTCTGAGTTGAATGCACACAACACAGAGAAGTGACTGGGAATTCTTCTGTCTAGCATTATAGGAGGAAATCCCGTTTCCAACGAAGGCCTCAAAGAGGTCCTAATATCCACTTGCAGACTTTGCAAAGACAGCATTTCCAAACTGCTCTATGAAAAGAAACGTTAAACTCTGTGAGTTGAACGCACACATCACAAACTAGTTTCTGCGAATGATTCTGTGTAGTTTTAATTCGAAGATATTTCCATTTCTAAGATTGGCCTCAAATCCCTTGAAATCTCCACTTGCAAATTCCACAAAAAGAGTGTTTCAAAACTGCTCTGAATAAAGGAAGGTTCAACACTGTGAGTTGAATGCACACAACACAAAGTAGTTACTGAGAATTCTTCTGTCGGGCAGTATATGAAGAAATCCCGTTTGCAACGAAGGCCTCACAGAAATCTAAATATCCACTTGCAGACCTTACAGACAGAGTGTTTCCAAACTTCTCTATGAAAAGAAAGGTTAATCTCCGTGAGTTGCACGCACACATCACAAAGTAGATTCTGAGAATGATTCTGTCTAGTTTTTATACGAAGATATTTCCTTTTCTACCATTGGCCTCAAATCGCTTGAAATCTTTACTTGCAAAAGCCACGAAAAGAGCGTTTCAAATCTGCTCTGTCTAAAGAAAGGTTCAAATCTGTGAGTTGAATACACACAACACAAAGTAGTTACTGAAAATTCTTCGGTCTAGCAGTATATGAAGAAATCCCGTTTCCAACGAAGGCCTCAAAGATGTCCAAATATCCACTTACAGACTTTACAAAAAGAGTCTATCCAAACTGCTGTATGCAAAGAAAGGTTAATCTCTGTGAGTTGCACGCACACATCACAGAGTAGTTTCTGAGAATTGTTCTGTCTAGTTTTTGTACGAAGATATTTCCTTTTCTACAATTGGCCTCAAATCGCTTGAAATCTCCACTTGCAAAAGCAACGAAAGGAGAGTTTCAAATCTGCTCGGTCTAAAGAAAGGTTCAACTCTGTGAATTGAATACACACAACCCAAAGAAGTTACTGAGAATTCTTCGGTCTAGCAGTATATGAAGAAATCCCGTTTCCAACGAAGGCCTCAAAAAGGTCCAAATATCTGCTTGCAGACTTTACAAAGAGAGTGCTTCCAACCTGCTCTATGAAAAGAAAGGTTAAACTCTGTGAGTTGAACGCACTCATCACAAAGAAGTTTCTGAGAATGATTCTGTTTAGTTATTATACGAAGATATTTTCTTTTCTACCATTGGCCTCCAATGACTTGAAATCTCCTCTGGCAAAAGCCACGAATAGAGAGTATCAAATCTGCTCTGTCTAAAGAAAAGTTCAACTCTGTGAGTTGAGTACACACAGCACAAAGAAGTTACTGAGTATTCTTCTGTCTAGCATTATATGAAGAAGTCCCGTTTCCAACGAAGGGCTCAAACAGCTCCAAATATCCACTTGGAGACTTTACAAAGAGAGCGTTTCCAAACTGCTCCATGAAAAGAAACGTTAAACTCCTGTGAGTTGAACGCACACATCACAAACTAGTTTCTGCGAACGATTCTTTGTAGTTTTAATTCGAAGATATTTCCATTTCTAAGATTGGCCTCAAATCCCTTGAAATCTCCACTTGCAAATTCCACAAAAAGAGTGTTTCAAAACTGCTCTGAATAAAGGAAGGTTCAACTCCGTGAGTTGAATGCACACAACACAAAGAGTTACTGAGAATTCTTCTGTCTGTGAGTATATGAAGAAATCCCGTTTGCAACGAAGGCCTCCCAGAAATCTAAATATCCACTTGCAGACCTTACAGACAGTCTTTCCAAACTGCTCTATGAAAAGAAAGGTTAATCTCCGTGAGTTGCACGCACACATCAGAAAGTAATTTCTGAGAATGATTCTCTCTAGTATTTATACGAAGATATTTCCTTTTCTACCATTGGCCTCAAATCG
The DNA here is from genome assembly GCF_000001405.40 of Homo sapiens. Taxonomy (NCBI): domain Eukaryota; kingdom Metazoa; phylum Chordata; class Mammalia; order Primates; family Hominidae; genus Homo; species Homo sapiens. Next base: position 39,892,702 of record NC_000010.11, on the reverse strand, counting down.
TTTGAAACCTCCACATGCAAAAGCCACGAGAAGAGCGTTTCAAATCTGCTCTGTCTAAAGAAAGGTTCAAATCTGTGAGTTGAATACACACAACACAAAGTAGTTACTGAAAATGCTTCGGTCTAGCAGTATATGGAGAAATCCCGTTTCCAACGAAGGGCTCAAAGAAGTCCAAATATCCACTTGCAGACTTTACAAAAATAGTGTTTCCAAACTGCTCAATTAAAAGAAAGGTTAAACTCTGTGAGTGGAACGCACACATCACCAAGTAGTTTCTGAGAATGAGTTTGTCTAGTTTTCATACGAAGATATTTCCTTTTCTACCATTGTCCTCGAAGAGCTTGAAATCTGCACTAGCAAATTACACAAAAAGAGTGTTTCAAATGTGCTCTCTCTAAATGAAGGTTCAAATCTCTGAGTTGAATGCACACAACACAAAGAAGTGACTGAGAATACTTCTGTCTAACATTATAGGAAGAAATCCCGTTTCCAACGAAGGCCTCAAAGAGGTCCAAATATCCACTTGCAGACTTTACAAATAGAGTGTTTCCAAACTGCTCTATGAAAAAAAAGCTTAAACTCTGTGAGTTGAATGCACACATCACAAGGTAGTATCTCAGAATGGCACTGTCTAGTTTTTATACAAAGATATTTCCATTTCTAAGACTGGCCTCAAATCCCTAGAAATCTCCATTGGAAATTGCACAAACAGAGTGTTTGAAAACTGCTCTTTCTAAAGGAAGAATCAACTCTGTTAGTTGAATGCACACAACACAAAGAAGTGACTGAGAATACTTCTATCTAGCATTATATGAAGAAATCTCGTTTCCAACGAAGGCCTCAAAGAGGTCCAAATATCCTACTGCAGACTTTACAAAGAGAGTGTTTCCAAACTGCTCAATTAAAAGAAAGGTTAAACTCTGTGAGTGAAACGCACACATCACAAAGTAGTTTCTGAGAATGATTTTGTCTAGTTTTAATACGAAGATATTTCCTTTCCTACCATTGTCCTCGAAGAGCTTGAAATCTGCACTAGCAAATTACACAAAAAGAGTGTTTCAAATGTGCTCTCTCTAAAGGAAGGTTCAAATCTCTGAGTTGAATGCACACAACACAAAGAAGTGACTGGGAATTCTTCTGTCCAGCATTATAGGAGGAAATCCCGTTTCCAACGAAGGCCTCAAAGAGGTCCTAATATCCACTTGCAGACTTTACAAAGACAGCGTTTCCAAACTGCTCTATGAAAAGAAACGTTAAACTCTGTGAGTTGAACACACACATCACAAACTAGTTTCTGCGAATGATTCTGTGTAGTTTTAATTCGAAGATATTTCCATTTCTAAGATTGGCCTCAAATCCCTTGAAATCTCCACTTGCAAATTCCACAAAAAGAGTGTTTCAAAACTGCTCTGAATAAAGGAAGGTTCAACTCTGTAAGTTGAATGCACACAACTGAAAGTAGTAACTGAGAATTCTGCTGTCGGGAAGTATATGAAGAAATCCCGTTTGCAATGAAGGCCTCACAGAAATCTAAATATCCACTTGCAGACCTTACAGACAGAGTGTTTCCAAACTTCTCTATGAAAAGAAAGGTTAATCTCCGTGAGTTGCACGCACACATCACAAAGTAGATTCTGAGAATGATTCTGTCTAGTTTTTATACGAAGTATATTTCCTTTTCTACCATTGGCCTCAAATCGCTTGAAATCTTTACTTGCAAAAGCCACGAAAAGAGCGTTTCAAATCTGCTCTGTCTAAAGAAAGGTTCAAATCTGTGAGTTGAATACACACAACACAAAGTAGTTACTGAAAATTCTTCGGGCTAGCAGTATATGGAGAAATCCCATTTCCAAAGAAGGCCTGAAAGAGGTCCAAATATCCGCTTGCAGACTTTACAAAAAGAGTGTTTCCAAACTGCTCTATGAAAAGAAAGTTTAAAATCTGTGAGTTGAACGCACAAATCACAGAGCAGTTTCTGAGAATTGTTCTGTCTAGTTTTTATACGAAGATATTTCCTTTTCTACAATTGGCCTCAAATCGCTTGAAATCTCCACTTGCAAAAGCAACGAAAGGAGAGTTTCAAATCTGCTCGGTCTAAAGAAAGGTTCAACTCTGTGAATTGAATACACACAACCCAAAGAAGTTACTGAGAATTCTTCGGTCTAGCAGTATATGAAGAAATCCCGTTTCCAACGAAGGCCTCAGAAAGGTCCAAATATCTGCTTGCAGACTTTACAAAGAGAGTGCTTCCAACCTGCTCTATGAAAAGAAAGGTTAAACTCTGTGAGTTGAACGCACACATCACAAAGAAGTTTCTGAGAATGATTCTGTTTAGTTATTATACGAAGATATTTTCTTTTCTACCATTGGCCTCCAATGACTTGAAATCTCCTCTGGCAAAACCCACGAAAAGAGAGTATCAAATCTGCTCTGTCTAAAGAAAAGTTCAACTCTGTGAGTTGAATACACACAGCACAAAGAAGTTACTGAGTATTCTTCTGTCTAGCATTATATGAAGAAGTCCCGTTTCCAACGAAGGGCTCAAACAGCTCCAAATATCCACTTGGAGACTTTACAAAGAGAGCGTTTCCAAACTGCTCTATGAAAAGAAACGTTAAACTCTGTGAGTTGAACGCACACATCACAAACTAGTTTCTACGAACGATTCTGTGTAGTTTTAATTCGAAGATATTTCCATTTCTAAGATTGGCCTCAAATCCCTTGAAATCTCCACTTGCAAATTCCACAAAAAGAGTGTTTCAAAACTGCTCTGAATAAAGGAAGGTTCAACTCTGTGTGTTGAATTTACACAACACAAAGTAGTTACTGAGAATTCTTCTGTCGGGCAGTATATGAAGAAATCCCGTTTGCAACGAAGGCCTCACAGAAATCTAAATATCCACTTGCAGACCTTACAGACAGAGTGTTTCCAAACTTCTCTATGAAAAGAAAGGTTAATCTCCGTGAGTTGCACGCACACATCACAAAGTAGATTCTGAGAATGATTCTGTCTAGTTTTTATACGAAGTATATTTCCTTTTCTACCATTGGCCTCAAATCGCTTGAAATCTTTACTTGCAAAAGCCACGAAAAGAGCGTTTCAAATCTGCTCTGTCTAAAGAAAGGTTCAAATCTGTGAGTTGAATACACACAACACAAAGTAGTTACTGAAAATTCTTCGGGCTAGCAGTATATGGAGAAATCCCGTTTCCAAAGAAGGCCTGAAAGAGGTCCAAATATCCGCTTGCAGACTTTACAAAAAGAGTGTTTCCAAACTGCTCTATGAAAAGAAAGTTTAAAATCTGTGAGTTGAACGCACAAATCACAGAGCAGTTTCTGAGAATTGTTCTGTCTAGTTTTTGTACGAAGATATTTCCTTTTCTACAATTGGCCTCAAATCGCTTGAAATCTCCACTTGCAAAAGCAACGAAAGGAGAGTTTCAAATCTGCTCGGTCTAAAGAAAGGTTCAACTCTGTGAATTGAATACACACAACCCAAAGAAGTTACTGAGAATTCTTCGGTCTAGCAGTATATGAAGAAATCCCGTTTCCAACGAAGGCCTCGAAAAGGTCCAACTATCTGCTTGCAGACTTTACAATGAGAGTGCTTCCAACCTGCTCTAGGAAAAGAAAGGTTAAACTCTGTGAGTTGAACGCACACATCACAAAGAAGTTTCTGAGAATGATTCTGTTTAGTTATTATACGAAGATATTTTCTTTTCTACCATTGGCCTCCAATGACTTGAAATCTCCTCTGGCAAAAGCCACGAAAAGACACTATCAAATCTGCTCTGTCTAAAGAAAACTTCAACTCTGTGAGTTGAATACACACAGCACAAAGAAGTTACTGAGTATTCTTCTGTCTAGCATTATATGAAGAAGTCCCGTTTCCAACGAAGGGCTCAAACAGCTCCAAATATCCACTTGGAGACTTTACAAAGAGAGCGTTTCCAAACTGCTCTATGAAAAGAAACGTTAAACTCTGTGAGTTGAACGCACATATCACAAACTAGTTTCTGCGAACGATTCTGTGTAGTTTTAATTCGAAGATATTTCCATTTCTAAGATTGGCCTCAAATCCCTTGAAATCTCCACTTGCAAATTCCACAAAAAGAGTGTTTCAAAACTGCTCTGAATAAATGAAGGTTCAACTCCGTGAGTTGAATGCACACAACACAAAGAGTTACTGAGAATTCTTCTGTCTGTGAGTATATGAAGAAATCCCGTTTGCAACGAAGGCCTCACAGGAAATCTAAATATCCACTTGCAGACCTTACAGACAGAGTCTTTCCAAACTGCTCTATGAAAAGAAAGGTTAATCTCCGTGAGTTGCACGCACACATCAGAAAGTAATTTCTGAGAATGATTCTCTCTAGTTTTTATACGAAGATATTTCCTTTTCTACCATTGGCCCCAAATCGTTTGAAACCTCCACATGCAAAAGCCACGAAAAGAGCGTTTCAAATCTGCTCTGTCTAAAGAAAGGTTCAACTCTGTTAGTTGAATACACACAACACAAACAAGTTACTGAGAATTCTTCGGTCTAGCAGTATATGGAGAAATCCCGTTTCCAACGAAGGGCTCAAAGAAGTCCAAATATCCACTTGCAGACTTTACAAAAATAGTGTTTCCAAACTGCTCAATTAAAAGAAAGGTTAAACTCTGTGAGTGGAATGCACACATCACAAAGTAGTTTCTGAGAATGAGTTTGTCTAGTTTTCATACGAAGATATTTCCTTTTCTACCATTGTCCTCGAAGAGCTTGAAATCTGCACTAGCAAATTACACAAAAAGAGTGTTTCAAATGTGCTCTCTCTAAAGGAAGGTTCAAATCTCTTAGTTGAATGCACACAACACAAAGAAGTGACTGAGAATACTTCTATCTAGCATTACAGGAAGAAATCCCGTTTCCAAAGAAGGCCTCAAAGAGGTCCAAATATCCACTTGCAGACTTTACAAATAGAGTGTTTCCAAACTGCTCTATGAAAAGAAAGGTTAAACTCTGTGAGTTGAACGCACACATCAAAAGGTAGTATCTCAGAATGACACTGTCTAGTTTTTATACAAAGATATTTCCATTTCTAAGACTGGCCTCAAATCCCTAGAAATCTCCATTGGAAATTGCACAAACAGAGTGTTTGAAAACTGCTCTTTCTAAAGGAAGGTTCAACTCTGTTAGTTGAATACACACAACACAAACAAGTTACTGAGAATTCTTCTATCTAGCATTATATGAAGAAATCTCGTTTCCAACGAAGGCCTCAAAGAGGTCCAAATATCCTACTGCAGACTTTACAAAGAGAGTGTTTCCAAACTGCTCAATTAAAAGAAAGGTTAAACTCTGTGAGTGGAACGCACACATCACAAAGTAGTTTCTGAGAATGATTTTGTCTAGTTTTCATACGAAGATATTTCCTTTCCTACCATTGTCCTCGAAGAGCTTGAAATCTGCACTAGCAAATTACACAAAAAGAGTGTTTCAAATGTGCTCTCTCTAAAGAAAGGTTCAAATCTCTGAGTTGAATGCACACAACACAAAGAAGTGACTGGGAATTCTTCTGTCTAGCATTATAGGAGGAAATCCCGTTTCCAACGAAGGCCTCAAAGAGGTCCTAATATCCACTTGCAGACTTTACAAAGACAGCGTTTCCAAACTGCTCTATGAAAAGAAAGGTTAAACTCTGTGAGTTGAACGCACACATCACAAACTAGTTTCTGCGAATGATTCTGTGTAGTTTTAATTCGAAGATATTTCCATTTCTAAGATTGGCCTCAAATCCCTTGAAATCTCCACTTGCAAATTCCACAAAAAGAGTGTTTCAAAACTGCTCTGAATAAAGGAAGGTTCAACTCTGTGAGTTGAATGCACAGAGCAGAAAGTAGTAACTGGGAATTCTTCTGTCGGGCAGTATATGAAGAAATCCCGTTTGCAACGAAGGCCTCACAGAAATCTAAATATCCACTTGCAGACCTTACAGACAGAGTGTTTCCAAACTTCTCTATGAAAAGAAAGGTTAATCTCCGTGAGTTGCACGCACACATCACAAAGTAGATTCTGAGAATGATTCTGTCTACTTTTTATACGAAGATATTTCCTTTTCTACCATTGGCCTCAAATCGCTTGAAATCTTTACTTGCAAAAGCCACGAAAAGTGCATTTCAAATCTGCTCTGTCTAAAGAAAGGTTCAAATCTGTGAGTTGAATACACACAACACAAAGTAGTTACGGAAAAGTCTTCGGGCTAGCAGTATATGGAGAAATCCCGTTTCCAAAGAAGGCCTGAAAGAGGTCCAAATATCCGCTTGCAGACTTTACAAAAAGAGTGTTTCCAAACTGCTCTATGAAAAGAAAGTTTAAAATCTGTGAGTTGAACGCACAAATCACAGAGCAGTTTCTGAGAATTGTTCTGTCTAGTTTTTATACGAAGATATTTCCTTTTCTACAATTGGCCTCAAATCGCTTGAAATCTCCACTTGCAAAAGCAACGAAAGGAGAGTTTCAAATCTGCTCGGTCTAAAGAAAGGTTCAACTCTGTGAATTGAATACACACAACCCAAAGAAGTTACTGAGAATTCTTCGGTCTAGCAGTATATGAAGAAATCCCGTTTCCAACGAAGGCCTCAAAAAGGTCCAAATATCTGCTTGCAGACTTTACAAAGAGAGTGCTTCCAACCTGCTCTATGAAAAGAAAGGTTAAACTCTGTGAGTTGAACGCACACATCACAAAGAAGTTTCTGAGAATGATTCTGTTTAGTTATTATACGAAGATATTTTCTTTTCTACCATTGGCCTCCAATGACTTGAAATCTCCTCTGGCAAAAGCCACGAAAAGAGAGTATCAAATCTGCCCTGTCTAAAGAAAAGTTCAACTTTGTGAGTTGAATACACACAGCACAAAGAAGTTACTGAGTATTCTTCTGTCTAGCATTATATGAAGAAGTCCCGTTTCCAACGAAGGGCTCAAACAGCTCCAAATATCCACTTGGAGACTTTACAAAGAGAGCGTTTCCAAACTGCTCTATGAAAAGAAACGTTAAACTCTGTGAGTTAAACGCACACATCACAAACTAGTTTCTGCGAACGATTCTGTGTAGTTTTAATTCGAAGATATTTCCATTTCTAAGATTGGCCTCAAATCCCTTGAAATCTCCACTTGCAAATTCCACAAAAAGAGTGTTTCAAAACTGCTCTGAATAAAGGAAGGTTCAACTCCGTGTGTTGAATTTACACAACACAAAGTAGTTACTGAGAATTCTTCTGTCGGGCAGTATATGAAGAAATCCCGTTTGCAACGAAGGCCTCACAGAAATCTAAATATCCACTTGCAGACCTTACAGACAGAGTGTTTCCAAACTTCTCTGTGAAAAGAAAGGTTAATCTCCGTGAGTTGCACGCACACATCACAAAGTAGATTCTGAGAATGATTCTCTCTAGTTTTTATACGAAGATATTTCCTTTTCTACCATTGGCCTCAAATCGTTTGAAACCTCCACATGCAAAAGCCACGAAAAGAGCGTTTTAAATCTGCTCTGTCTAAAGAAAGGTTCAAATCTGTGAGTTGAATACACACAACACAAAGTAGTTACTGAAAATGCTTCGGTCTAGCAGTATATGGAGAAATCCCGTTTCCAACGAAGGGCTCAAAGAAGTCCAAATATCCACTTGCAGACTTTACAAAAATAGTGTTTCCAAACTGCTCAATTAAAAGAAAGGTTAAACTCTGTGAGTGGAACGCACACCTCACAAAGTAGTTTCTGAGAATGAGTTTGTCTAGTTTTCATACGAAGATATTTCCTTTTCTACCATTGTCCTCGAAGAGCTTGAAATCTGCACTAGCAAATTACACAAAAAGAGTGTTTCAAATGTGCTCTCTCTAAAGGAAGGTTCAAATCTCTGAGTTGAATGCACACAACACAAAGAAGTGACTGAGAATACTTCTGTCTAGCATTATAGGAAGAAATCCCGTTTCCAACGAAGGCCTCAAAGAGGTCCAAATATCCACTTGCAGACTTTACAAATAGAGTGTTTCCAAACTGCTCTATGAAAAGAAAGGTTAAACTCTGTGAGTTGAACGCACACATCACAAGGTAGTATCTCAGAATGACACTGTCTAGTTTTTATACAAAGATATTTCCATTTCTAAGACTGGCCTCAAATCCCTAGAAATCTCCATTGGAAATTGCACAAACAGAGTGTTTGAAAACTGCTCTTTCTAAAGGAAGGTTCAACTCTGTTAGTTGAATACACACAACACAAACAAGTTACTGAGAATTCTTCTATCTAGCATTATATGAAGAAATCCCGTTTCCAACGAAGGCCTCAAAGAGGTCCAAATATCCTACTACAGACCTTACAAAGAGAGTGTTTCCAAACTGCTCAATTAAAAGAAAGGTTAAACTCTGTGAGTGGAATGCACACATCACAAAGTAGTTTCTGAGAATGATTTTGTCTAGTTTTAATACGAAGATATTTCCTTTCCTACCATTGTCCTCGAAGAGCTTGAAATCTGCACTAGCAAATTACACAAAAAGAGAGTTTTAAATGTGTTCTCTCTAAAGGAAGGTTCAAATCTCTGAGTTGAATGCACACAACACAAAGAAGTGACTGGGAATTCTTCTGTCTAGCATTATAGGAGGAAATCCCGTTTCCAAGGAAGGCCTCAAAGAGGTCCTGATATCCACTTGCAGACTTTAGAAAGACAGCGTTTCCAAACTGCTCTATGAAAAGAAACGTTAAACTCTGTGAGTTGAACGCACACATCACAAACTAGTTTCTGCGAATGATTCTGTGTAGTTTTAATTCGAAGATATTTCCATTTCTAAGATTGGCCTCAAATCCCTTGAAATCTCCACTTGCAAATTCCACAAAAAGAGTGTTTCAAAACTGCTCTGAATAAAGGAAGGTTCAACTCTGTGAGTTGAATGCACACAACAGAAAGTAGTAACTGAGAATTCTTCTGTCGGGCAGTATATGAAGAAATCCCGTTTGCAACGAAGGCCTCACAGAAATCTAAATATCCACTTGAAGACCTTACAGACAGAGTGTTTCCAAACTTCTCTATGAAAAGAAAGGTTAATCTCCGTGAGTTGCACGCACACATCACAAAGTAGATTCTGAGAATGACTCTGTCTAGTTTTTATACGAAGATATTTCCTTTTCTACCATTCGCCTCAAATCGCTTGAAATCTTTACTTGCAAAAGCCACGAAAAGAGCGTTTCAAATCTGCTCTGTCTAAAGAAAGGTTCAAATCTGTGAGTTGAATACACACAACACAAAGTAGTTACTGAAAATGCTTCGGGCTAGCAGTATATGGAGAAATCCCGTTTCCAAAGAAGGCCTGAAAGAGGTCCAAATATCCGCTTGCAGACTTTACAAAAAGAGTGTTTCCAAACTGCTCTATGAAAAGAAAGTTTAAAATCTGTGAGTTCAACGCACAAATCACAGAGCAGTTTCTGAGAATTGTTCTGTCTAGTTTTTATACGAAGATATTTCCTTTTCTACAATTGGCCTCAAATCGCTTGAAATCTCCACTTGCAAAAGCAATGAAAGGAGAGTTTCAAATCTGCTCGGTCTAAAGAAAGGTTCAACTCTGTGAATTGAATACACACAACCCAAAGAAGTTACTGAGAATTCTTCGGTCTAGCAGTATATGAAGAAATCCCGTTTCCAACGAAGGCCTCAAAAAGGTCCAAATATCTGCTTGCAGACTTTACAAAGAGAGTGCTTCCAACCTGCTCTATGAAAAGAAAGGTTAAACTCTGTGAGTTGAACGCACACATCACAAAGAAGTTTCTGAGAATGATTCTGTTTAGTTATTATACGAAGATATTTTCTTTTCTACCATTGGCCTCCAATGACTTGAAATCTCCTCTGGCAAAAGCCACGAAAAGAGAGTATCAAATCTGCTCTGTCTAAAGAAAATTTCAACTCTGTGAGTTGAATACACACAGCACAAAGAAGTTACTGAGTATTCTTCTGTCTAGCATTATATGAAGAAGTCCCGTTTCCAACGAAGGGCTCAAAGAGCTCCAAATATCCACTTGGAGACTTTACAAAGAGAGCGTTTCCAAACTGCTCTATGAAAAGAAACGTTAAACTCTGTGAGTTGAACGCACACATCACAAACTAGTTTCTGCGAACGATTCTGTGTAGTTTTAATTCGAAGATATTTCCATTTCTAAGATTGGCCTCAAATCCCTTGAAATCTCCACTTGCAAATTCCACAAAAAGAGTGTTTCAAAACTGCTCTGAATAAAGGAAGGTTCAACTCCGTGAGTTGAATGCACACAACACAAAGAGTTACTGAGAATTCTTCTGTCTGTGAGTATATGAAGAAATCCCGTTTGCAACGAAGGCCTCACAGAAATCTAAATATCCACTTGCAGACCTTACAGACAGAGTCTTTCCAAACTGCTCTATGAAAAGAAAGGTTAATCTCCGTGAGTTGCACGCACACATCAGAAAGTAATTTCTGAGAATGATTCTCTCTAGTTTTTATACGAAGATATTCCCTTTTCTACCATTGGCCTCAAATCGTTTGAAACCTCCACATGCAAAAGCCACGAAAAGAGCGTTTCAAATCTGCTCTGTCTAAAGAAAGGTTCAAATCTGTGAGTTGAATACACACAACACAAAGTAGTTACTGAAAATGCTTTGGTCTAGCAGTATATGGAGAAATCCCGTTTCCAACGAAGGGCTCAAAGAAGTCCAAATATCCACTTGCAGACTTTACAAAAATAGTGTTTCCAAACTGCTCAATTAAAAGAAAGGTTAAACTCTGTGAGTGGAACGCACACATCACAAAGTAGTTTCTGAGAATGATTTTGTCTAGTTTTCATACGAAGATATTTCCTTTTCTACCATTGTCCTCGAAGAGCTTGAAATCTGCACTAGCAAATTACACAAAAAGAGTGTTTCAAATGTGCTCTCTCTAAAGGAAGGTTCAAATCTCTGAGTTGAATGCACACAACACAAAGAAGTGACTGAGAATACTTCTGTCTAGCATTATAGGAAGAAATCCCGTTTCCAATGAAGGCCTCAAAGAGGTCCAAATATCCACTTGCAGACTTTACAAATAGAGTGTTTCCAAACTGCTCTATGAAAAGAAAGGTTAAACTCTGTGAGTTGAACGCACACATCACAAGGTAGTATCTCAGAATGACACTGTCTAGTTTTTATACAAAGATATTTCCATTTCTAAGACTGGCCTCAAATCCCTAGAAATCTCCATTGGAAATTGCACAAACAGAGTGTTTGAAAACTGCTCTTTCTAAAGGAAGGTTCAACTCTGTTAGTTGAATACACACAACACAAACAAGTTACTGAGAATTCTTCTATCTAGCATTATATGAAGAAATCCCGTTTCCAACGAAGGCCTCAAAGAGGTCCAAATATCCTACTGCAGGCTTTACAAAGAGAGTGTTTCCAAACTGCTCAATTAAAAGAAACGTTAAACTCTGTGAGTGGAACGCACACATCACAAAGTAGTTTCTGAGAATGATTTTGTCTAGTTTTCATACGAAGATATTTCCTTTCCTACCATTGTCCTCGAAGAGCTTGAAATCTGCATTAGCAAATTACACAAAAAGAGTGTTTTAAATGTGATCTCTCTAAAGGAAGGTTCAAATCTCTGAGTTGAATGCACACAACACAAAGAAGTGACTGGGAATTCTTCTGTCTAGCATTATACGAGGAAATCCCGTTTCCAACGAAGGCCTCAAAGAGGTCCTAATATCCACTTGCAGACTTTACAAAGACAGCGTTTCCAAACTGCTCTATGAAAAGAAACCTTAAACTCTGTGAGTTGAACGCACACATCACAAACTAGTTTCTGCGAACGATTCTGTGTAGCTTTAATTCGAAGATATTTCCATTTCTAAGATTGGCCTCAAATCCCTTGAAATCTCCACTTGCAAATTCCACAAAAAGAGTGTTTCAAAACTGCTCTGAATAAAGGAAGGTTCAACTCTGTGAGTTGAATGCACACAACAGAAAGTAGTAACTGAGAATTCTGCTGTCGGGAAGTATATGAAGAAATCCCGTTTGCAATGAAGGCCTCACAGAAATCTAAATATCCACTTGCAGAACTTACAGACAGAGTGTTTCCAAACTTCTCTATGAAAAGAAAGGTTAATCTCCGTGAGTTGCACGCACACATCACAAAGTAGATTCTGAGAATGATTCTGTCTAGTTTTTATACGAAGATATTTCCTTTTCTACCATTGGCCTCAAATCGCTTCAAATCTTTACTTGCAAAAGCCACGAAAAGAGCGTTTCAAATCTGCTCTGTCTAAAGAAAGGTTCAAATCTGTGAGTTGAATACACACAACACAAAGTGGTTACTGAAAATTCTTCGGGCTAGCAGTATATGGAGAAATCCCGTTTCCAAAGAAGGCCTGAAAGAGGTCCAAATATCCGCTTGCAGACTTTACAAAAAGAGTGTTTCCAAACTGCTCTATGAAAAGAAAGTTTAAAATCTGTGAGTTGAACGCACAAATCACAGAGCAGTTTCTGAGAATTGTTCTGTCTAGTTTTTATACGAAGATATTTCCTTTTCTACAATTGGCTTCAAATCGCTTGAAATCTCCACTTGCAAAAGCAACGAAAGGAGAGTTTCAAATCTGCTCGGTCTAAAGAAAGGTTCAACTCTGTGAATTGAATACACACAACCCAAAGAAGTTACTGAGAATTCTTCGGTCTAGCAGTATATGAAGAAATCCCGTTTCCAACGAAGGCCTCAAAAAGGTCCAAATATCTGCTTGCAGACTTTACAAAGAGAGTGCTTCCAACCTGCTCTATGAAAAGAAAGGTTAAACTCTGTGAGTTGAACGCACACATCACAAAGAAGTTTCTGAGAATGATTCTGTTTAGTTATTATACGAAGATATTTTCTTTTCTACCATTGGCCTCCAATGACTTGAAATCTCCTCTGGCAAAAGCCACGAAAAGAGAGTATCAAATCTGCTCTGTCTAAAGAAAAGTTCAACTCTGTGATTTGAATACACACAGCACAAAGAAGTTACTGAGTATTCTTCTGTCTAGCATTATATGAAGAAGTCCCGTTTCCAACGAAGGGCTCAAAGAGCTCCAAATATCCACTTGGAGACTTTACAAAGAGAGCATTTCCAAACTGCTCCATGAAAAGAAACGTTAAACTCTCTGAGTTGAACGCACACATCACAAACTAGTTTCTGCGAACGATTCTGTGTAGTTTTAATTCGAAGATATTTCCATTTCTAAGATTGGCCTCAAATCCCTTGAAATCTCCACTTGCAAATTCCACAAAAAGAGTGTTTCAAAACTGCTCTGAATAAAGGAAGGTTCAACTCCGTGAGTTGAATGCACACAACACAAAGAGTTACTGAGAATTCTTCTGTCTGTGAGTATATGAAGAAATCCCGTTTGCAACGAAGGCCTCCCAGAAATCTAAATATCCACTTGCAGACCTTACAGACAGAGTCTTTCCAAACTGCTCTATGAAAAGAAAGGTTAATCTCCGTGAGTTGCACGCACACATCAGAAAGTAATTTCTGAGAATGATTCTCTCTAGTTTTTATACGAAGATATTTCCTTTTCTACCATTGGCCTCAAATCGTTTGAAACCTCCACATGCAAAAGCCACGAAAAGAGCGTTTCAAATCTGCTCTGTCTAAAGAAAGGTTCAAATCTGTGAGTTGAATACACACAACACAAAGTAGTTACTGAAAATGCTTCGGTCTAGCAGTATATGGAGAAATCCCGTTTCCAACGAAGGGCTCAAAGAAGTCCAAATATCCACTTGCAGACTTTACAAAAATAGTGTTTCCAAACTGCTCAATTAAAAGAAAGGTTAAACTCTGTGAGTGGAACGCACACATCACAAAGTAGTTTCTGAGAATGAGTTTGTCTAGTTTTCATACGAAGATATTTCCTTTCCTACCATTGTCTTCGAAGAGCTTGAAATCTGCAGTAGCAAATTACACAAAAAGAGTGTTTCAAATGTGCTCACTCTAAAGGAAGGTTCAAATCTCTGAGTTGAATGCACACAACACAAAGAAGTGACTGAGAATACTTCTGTCTAGCATTATAGGAAGAAATCCCGTTTCCAACGAAGGCCTCAAAGAGGTCCAAATATCCACTTGCAGACTTTACAAATAGAGTGTTTCCAAGCTGCTCTATGAAAAGAAAGGTTAAACTCTGTGAGTTGAACGCACACATCACAAGGTAGTATCTCAGAATGACACTGTCTAGTTTTTATACAAAGATATTTCCATTTCTAAGACTGGCCTCAAATCCCTAGAAATCTCCATTGGAAATTGCACAAACAGAGTGTTTGAAAACTGCTCTTTCTAAAGGAAGGTTCAACTCTGTTAGTTGAATACACACAACACAAACAAGTTACTGAGAACTCTTCTATCTAGCATTATATGAAGAAATCCCGTTTCAAACGAAGGCCTCAAAGAGGTCCAAATATCCTACTGCAGGCTTTACAAAGAGAGTGTTTCCAAACTGCTCAATGAAAAGAAAGGTTAAACTCTGTGAGTGGAACGCACACATCACAAAGTAGTTTCTGAGAATGATTTTGTCTAGTTTTAATACGAAGATATTTCCTTTCCTACCATTGTCCTCGAAGAGCTTGAAATCTGCACTAGCAAATTACACAAAAAGAGTGTTTTACATGTGCTCTCTCTAAAGGAAGGTTCAAATCTCTGAGTTGAATGCACACAACACAAAGAAGTGACTGGGAATTCTTCTGTCTAGCATTATAGGAGGAAATCCCGTTTCCAACGAAGGCCTCAAAGAGGTCCTAATATCCACTTGCAGACTTTACAAAGACAGCGTTTCCAAACTGCTCTATGAAAAGAAACCTTAAACTCTGTGAGTTGAACGCACACATCACAAACTAGTTTCTGCGAATGATTCTGTGTAGTTTTAATTCGAAGATATTTCCATTTCTAAGATTGGCCTCAAATCCCTTGAAATCTCCACTTGCAAATTCCACAAAAAGAGTGTTTCAAAACTGCTCTGAATAAAGGAAGGTTCAACTCTGTGAGTTGAATGCACACAGCAGAAAGTAGTAACTGAGAATTCTTCTGTCTGTGAGTATATGAAGAAATCCCGTTTGCAACGAAGGCCTCACAGAAATCTAAATATCCACTTGCAGACCTTACAGACAGAGTGTTTCCAAACTTCTCTATGAAAAGAAAGCTTAATCTCCATGAGTTGCACGCACACATCACAAAGTAGATTCTGAGAATGATTCTGTCTAGTTTTTATACGAAGATATTTCCTTTTCTACCATTGGCCTCAAATCTCTTGAAATCTTTACTTGCAAAAGCCACGAAAAGAGCGTTTCAAATCTCCTCTGTCTAAAGAAAGGTTCAAATCTGTGAGTTGAATACACACAACACAAAGTAGTTACTGAAAATTCTTCGGGCTAGCAGTATATGGAGAAATCCCGTTTCCAAAGAAGGCCTGAAAGAGGTCCAAATATCCGCTTGCAGACTTTACAAAAAGAGTGTTTCCAAACTGCTCTATGAAAAGAAAGTTTAAAATCTGTGAGTTGAACGCACAAATCACAGAGCAGTTTCTGAGAATTGTTCTGTCTAGTTTTTATACGAAGATATTTCCTTTTCTACAATTGGCCTCAAATCGCTTGAAATCTCCACTTGCAAAAGCAACGAAAGGAGAGTTTCAAATCTGCTCGGTCTAAAGAAAGGTTCAACTCTGTGAATTGAATACACACAACCCAAAGAAGTTACTGAGAATTCTTCGGTCTAGCAGTATATGAAGAAATCCCGTTTCCAACGAAGGCCTCAGAAAGGTCCAAATATCTGCTTGCAGACTTTACAAAGAGAGTGCTTCCAACCTGCTCTATGAAAAGAAAGGTTAAACTCTGTGAGTTGAACGCACACATCACAAAGAAGTTTCTGAGAATGATTCTGTTTAGTTATTATACGAAGATATTTTCTTTTCTACCATTGGCCTCCAATGACTTGAAATCTCCTCTGGCAAAAGCCACGAAAAGAGAGTATCAAATCTGCTCTGTCTAAAGAAAAGTTCAACTCTGTGAGTTGAATACACACAGCACAAAGAAGTTACTGAGTATTCTTCTGTCTAGCATTATATGAAGAAGTCCCGTTTCCAACGAAGGGCTCAAAGAGCTCCAAATATCCACTTGGAGACTTTACAAAGAGAGCGTTTCCAAACTGCTCTATGAAAAGAAACGTTAAACTCTGTGAGTTGAACGCACACATCACAAACTAGTTTCTGCGAACGATTCTGTGTAGTTTTAATTCGAAGATATTTCCATTTCTAAGATTGGCCTCAAATCCCTTGAAATCTTCACTTGCAAATTCCACAAAAAGAGTGTTTCAAAACTGCTCTGAATAAAGGAAGGTTCAACTCCGTGAGTTGAATGCACACAACACAAAGAGTTACTGAGAATTCTTCTGTCTGTGAGTATATGAAGAAATCCCGTTTGCAACGAAGGCCTCCCAGAAATCTAAATATCCACTTGCAGACCTTACAGACAGAGTCTTTCCAAACTGCTCTATGAAAAGAAAGGTTAATCTCTGTGAGTTGCACGCACACATCAGAAAGTAATTTCTGAGAATGATTCTCTCCAGTTTTTATACGAAGATATTTCCTTTTCTACCATTGGCCTCAAATCGTTTGAAACCTCCACATGCAAAAGCCACGAAAAGAGCGTTTCAAATCTGCTCTGTCTAAAGAAAGGTTCAAATCTGTGAGTTGAATACACACAACACAAAGTAGTTACTGAAAATGCTTCGGTCCAGCAGTATATGGAGAAATCCCGTTTCCAACGAAGGGCTCAAAGAAGTCCAAATATCCACTTGCAGACTTTACAAAATTAGTGTTTCCAAACTGTTCAATTAAAAGAAAGGTTAAACTCTGTGAGTGGAACGCACACATCACAAAGTAGTTTCTGAGAATGAGTTTGTCTAGTTTTCATACGAAGATATTTCCTTTTCTACCATTGTCCTCGAAGAGCTTGAAATCTGCACTAGCAAATTACACAAAAAGAGTGTTTCAAATGTGCTCTCTCTAAAGGAAGGTTCAAATCTCTGAGTTGAATGCACACAACACAAAGAAGTGACTGAGAATACTTCTGTCTAGCATTATAGGAAGAAATCCCGTTTCCAACGAAGGCCTCAAAGAGGTCCAAATATCCACTTGCAGACTTTACAAATAGAGTGTTTCCAAACTGCTCTATGAAAAGAAAGGTTAAACTCTGTGAGTTGAACGCACACATCACAAGGTAGTATCTCAGAATGACACTGTCTAGTTTTTATACAAAGATATTTCCATTTCTAAGACTGGCCTCAAATCCCTAGAAATCTCCATTGGAAATTGCACAAACAGAGTGTTTGAAAACTGCTCTTTCTAAAGGAAGGTTCAACTCTGTTAGTTGAATACAAACAACACAAACAAGTTACTGAGTATTCTTCTATCTAGCATTATATGAAGAAATCCCGTTTCCAACGAAGGCCTCAAAGAGGTCCAAATATCCTACTGCAGGCTTTACAAAGAGAGTGTTTGCAAACTGCTCAATTAAAAGAAAGGTTAAACTCTGTGAGTGGAACGCACACATCACAAAGTAGTTTCTGAGAATGATTTTGTCTAGTTTTAATACGAAGATATTTCCTTTCCTACCATTGTCCTCGAAGAGCTTGAAATCTGCACTAGCAAATTACACAAAAAGAGTGTTTTAAATGTGCTCTCTCTAAAGGAAGGTTCAAATCTCTGAGTTGAATGCACACAACACAAAGAAGTGACTGGGAATTCTTCTGTCCAGCATTATAAGAGGAAATACCGTTTCCAACGAAGGCCTCAAAGAGGTCCTAATATCCACTTGCAGACTTTACAAAGACAGCGTTTCCAAACTGCTCTATGAAAAGAAACGTTAAACTCTGTGAGTTGAACGCACACATCACAAACTAGTTTCTGCGAATGATTCTGTGTAGTTTTAATTCGAAGATATTTCCATTTCTAAGATTGGCCTCAAATCCCTTGAAATCTCCACTTGCAAATTCCACAAAAAGAGTGTTTCAAAACTGCTCTGAATAAAGGAAGGTTCAACTCTGTGAGTTGAATGCACACAACACAAAGTAGTAACTGAGAATTCTTCTGTCGGGCAGTATATGAAGAAATCCCGTTTGCAACGAAGGCCTCACAGAAATCTAAATATCCACTTGCAGACCTTACAGACAGACTCTTTCCAAACTTCTCTATGAAAAGAAAGGTTAATCTCCGTGAGTTGCACGCACACATCACAAAGTAGATTCTGAGAACGATTCTGTCTAGTTTTTATACGAAGATATTTCCTTTTCTACCATTGGCCTCAAATCGCTTGAAATCTTTACTTGCAAAAGCCACGAAAAGAGCGTTTCAAATCTGCTCTGTCTAAAGAAAGGTTCAAATCTGTGAGTTGAATACACACAACACAAAGTAGTTACTGAAAATGCTTCGGGCTAGCAGCATATGGAGAAATCCCGTTTCCAAAGAAGGCCTGAAAGAGGTCAAAATATCCGCTTGCAGACTTTACAAAAAGAGTGTTTCCAAACTGCTCTATGAAAAGCAAGTTTAAAATCTGTGAGTTGAACGCACAAATCACAGAGCAGTTTCTGAGAATTGTTCTGTCTAGTTTTTATACGAAGATATTTCCTTTTGTACAATTGGCCTCAAATCGCTTGAAATCTCCACTTCCAAAAGCAACGAAAGGAGAGTTTCAAATCTGCTCGGTCTAAAGAAAGGTTCAACTCTGTGAATTGAATACACACAACCCAAAGAACTTACTGAGAATTCTTCGGTCTAGCAGTATATGAAGAAATCCCGTTTCCAACGAAGGCCTCGAAAAGGTCCAAATATCTGCTTGCAGACTTTACAAAGAGAGTGCTTCCAACCTGCTCTATGAAAAGAAAGGTTAAACTCTGTGAGTTGAACGCACACATCACAAAGAAGTTTCTGAGAATGATTCTGTTTAGTTATTATACGAAGATATTTTCTTTTCTACCATTGGCCTCCAATGACTTGAAATCTCCTCTGGCAAAAGCCACGAAAAGAGAGTATCAAATCTGCCCTGTCTAAAGAAAAGTTCAACTTTGTGAGTTGAATACACACAGCACAAAGAAGTTACTGAGTATTCTTCTGTCTAGCATTATATGAAGAAGTCCCGTTTCCAACGAAGGGCTCAAACAGCTCCAAATATCCACTTGGAGACTTTACAAAGAGAGCGTTTCCAAACTGCTCTATGAAAAGAAACGTTAAACTCTGTGAGTTGAACGCACACATCAGAAACTAGTTTCTGCGAACGATTCTGTGTAGTTTTAATTCGAAGATATTTCCATTTCTAAGATTGGCCTCAAATCCCTTGAAATCTCCACTTGCAAATTCCACAAAAAGAGTGTTTCAAAACTGCTCTGAATAAAGGAAGGTTCAACTCCGTGAGTTGAATGCACACAACACAAAGAGTTACTGAGAATTCTTCTGTCTGTGAGTATATGAAGAAATCCCGTTTGCAACGAAGGCCTCCCAGAAATCTAAATATCCACTTGCAGACCTTACAGACAGAGTCTTTCCAAACTGCTCTATGAAAAGAAAGGTTAATCTCCGTGAGTTGCACGCACACATCAGAAAGTAATTTCTGAGAATGATTCTCTCTAGTTTTTATACGAAGATATTTCCTTTTCTACCATTGGCCTCAAATCGTTTGAAACCTCCACATGCAAAAGCCACGAAAAGAGCGTTTCAAATCTGCTCTGTCTAAAGAAAGGTTCAAATCTGTGAGTTGAATACACACAACACAAAGTAGTTACTGAAAATGCTTCGGTCTAGCAGTATATGGAGAAATCCCGTTTCCAACGAAGGGCTCAAAGAAGTCCAAATATCCACTTGCAGACTTTACAAAAATAGTGTTTCCAAACTGCTCAATTAAAAGAAAGGTTAAACTCTGTGAGTGGAATGCACACATCACAAAGTAGTTTCTGAGAATGAGTTTGTCTAGTTTTCATACGAAGATATTTCCTTTTCTACCATTGTCCTCGAAGAGCTTGAAATCTGCACTAGAAAATTACACAAAAAGAGTGTTTCAAATGTGCTCTCTCTAAAGGAAGGTTCAAATCTCTGAGTTGAATGCACACAACACAAAGAAGTGACTGAGAATACTTCTGTCTAGCATTACAGGAAGAAATCCCGTTTCCAACGAAGGCCTCAAAGAGGTCCAAATATCCACTTGCAGACTTTACAAATAGAGTGTTTCCAAACTGCTCTATGAAAAGAAAGGTTAAACTCTGTGAGTTGAACGCACACATCACAAGGTAGTATCTCAGAATGACACTGTCTAGTTTTTATACAAAGATATTTCCATTTCTAAGACTGGCCTCAAATCCCTAGAAATCTCCATTGGAAATTGCACAAACAGAGTGTTTGAAAACTGCTCTTTCTAAAGGAAGTTTCAACTCTGTTAGTTGAATACACACAACACAAACAAGTTACTGAGAACTCTTCTATCTAGCATTATATGAAGAAATCCCGTTTCCAACGAAGGCCTCAAAGAGGTCCAAATATCCTACTGCAGACTTTACAAAGAGAGTGTTTCCAAACTGCTCAATGAAAAGAAAGGTTAAACTCTGTGAGTGGAACGCACACATCACAAAGTAGTTTCTGAGAATGATTTTGTCTAGTTTTAATACAAAGATATTTCCTTTCCTACCATTGTCCTCGAAGAGCTTGAAATCTGCACTAGCAAATTACACAAAAAGAGTGTTTCAAATGTGCTCTCTCTAAAGGAAGGTTCAAATCTCTGAGTTGAATGCACACAACACAAAGAAGTGACTGGGAATTCTTCTGTCTAGCATTATAGGAGGAAATCCCGTTTCCAACGAAGGCCTCAAAGAGGTCCTAATATCCACTTGCAGACTTTACAAAGACAGCGTTTCCAAACTGCTCTATGAAAAGAAACGTTAAACTCTGTGAGTTGAACGCACACATCACAAACTAGTTTCTGCGAATGATTCTGTGTAGTTTTAATTCGAAGATATTTCCATTTCTAAGATTGGCCTCAAATCCCTTGAAATCTCCACTTGCAAATTCCACAAAAAGAGTGTTTCAAAACTGCTCTGAATAAAGGAAGGTTCAACTCTGTGAGTTGAATGCACACAACTGAAAGTAGTAACTGAGAATTCTTCTGTCGGGCAGTATATGAAGAAATCCCGTTTGCAATGAAGGCCTCACAGAAATCTAAATATCCACTTGCAGACCTTACAGACAGAGTGTTTCCAAACTTCTCTATGAAAAGAAAGGTGAATCTCCGTGAGTTGCACGCACACATCACAAAGTAGATTCTGAGAATGATTCTGTCTAGTTTTTATACGAAGATATTTCCTTTTCTACCATTGGCCTCAAATCGCTTGAAATCTTTACTTGCAAAAGCCACGAAAAGAGCGTTTCAAATCTGCTCTGTCTAAAGAAAGGTTCAAATCTGTGAGTTGAATACACACAACACAAAGTAGTTACTGAAAATTCTTCGGGCTAGCAGTATATGGAGAAATCCCGTTTACAAAGAAGGCCTGAAAGAGGTCCAAATATCCGCTTGCAGACTTTACAAAAAGAGTGTTTCCAAACTGCTCTATGAAAAGAAAGTTTAAAATCTGTGAGTTGAATGCACAAATCACAGAGCAGTTTCTGAGAATTGTTCTGTCTAGTTTTTATACGAAGATATTTCCTTTTCTACAATTGGCCTCAAATCGCTTGAAATCTCCACTTGCAAAAGCAACAAAAGGAGAGTTTCAAATCTGCTCGGTCTAAAATAAGGTTCAAATCTGTGAATTGAATACACACAACCCAAAGAAGTTACTGAGAATTCTTCGGTCTAGCAGTATATGAAGAAATCCCGTTTCCAACGAAGGCCTCAAAAAGGACCAAATATCTGCTTGCAGACTTTACAAAGAGAGTGCTTCCAACCTGCTCTAGGAAAAGAAAGGTTAAACTCTGTGAGTTGAACGCACACATCACAAAGAAGTTTCTGAGAATGATTCCGTTTAGTTATTATACGAAGATATTTTCTTTTCTACCATTGGCCTCCAATGACTTGAAATCTCCTCTGGCAAAAGCCACGAAAAGAGAGTATCAAATCTGCTCTGTCTAAAGAAAAGTTCAACTCTGTGAGTTGAATACACACAGCACAAAGAAGTTACTGAGTATTCTTCTGTCTAGCATTATATGAAGAAGTCCCGTTTCCAACGAAGGGCTCAAAGAGCTCCAAATATCCACTTGGAGACTTTACAAAGAGAGCGTTTCCAAACTGCTCTATGAAAAGAAACGTTAAACTCTGTGAGTTGAACGCACACATCACAAACTAGTTTCTGCGAACGATTCTGTGCAGTTTTAATTCGAAGATATTTCCATTTCTAAGATTGGCCTCAAATCCCTTGAAATCTCCACTTGCAAATTCCACAAAAAGAGTGTTTCAAAACTGCTCTGAATAAAGGAAGGTTCAACTCCGTGAGTTGAATGCACACAACACAAAGAGTTACTGAGAATTCTTCTGTCTGTGAGTATATGAAGAAATCCCGTTTGCAACGAAGGCCTCACAGAAATCTAAATATCCACTTGCAGACCTTACAGACAGAGTCTTTCCAAACTGCTCTATGAAAAGAAAGGTTAATCTCCGTGAGTTGCACGCACACATCACAAAGTAATTTCTGAGAATGATTCTCTCTAGTTTTTATACGAAGATATTTCCTTTTCTACCATTGGCCTCAAATCGTTTGAAACCTCCACATGCAAAAGCCACGAGAAGAGCGTTTCAAATCTGCTCTGTCTAAAGAAAGGTTCAAATCTGTGACTTGAATACACACAACACAAAGTAGTTACTGAAAATGCTTCGGTCTAGCAGTATATGGAGAAATCCCGTTTCCAACGAAGGGCTCAAAGAAGTCCAAATATCCACTTGCAGAGTTTACAAAAATAGTGTTTCCAAACTGCTCAATTAAAAGAAAGGTTAAACTCTGTGAGTGGAACGCACACATCACAAAGTAGTTTCTGAGAATGAGTTTGTCTACTTTTCATACGAAGATATTGCCTTTTCTACCATTGTCCTCGAAGAGCTTGAAATCTGCACTAGCAAAATACACAAAAAGAGTGTTTCAAATGTGCTCTCTCTAAAGGAAGGTTCAAATCTCTGAGTTGAATGCACACAACACAAAGAAGTGACTGAGAATACTTCTGTCTAGCATTATAGGAAGAAATCGCGTTTCCAACGAAGGCCTCAAAGAGGTCCAAATATCCACTTGCAGACTTTACAAATAGAGTGTTTCCAAACTGCTCTATGAAAAGAAAGGTTAAACTCTGTGAGTTGAACGCACACATCACAAGGTAGTATCTCTGAATGACACTGTCTAGTTTTTATACAAAGATATTTCCATTTCTAAGACTGGCCTCAAATCCCTAGAAATCTCCATTGGAAATTGCACAAACAGAGTGTTTGAAAACTGCTCTTTCTAAAGGAAGGTTCAACTCTGTTAGTTGAATACACACAACACAAACAAGTTACTGAGAATTCTTCTATCTAGCATTATATGAAGAAATCCCGTTTCCAACGAAGGCCTCAAAGAGGTCCAAATATCCTACTGCAGGCTTTACAAAGAGAGTGTTTCCAAACTGCTCAATTAAAAGAAAGGTTAAACTCTGTGAGTGGAACGCACACATCACAAAGTAGTTTCTGAGAATGATTTTGTCTAGTTTTAATACGAAGATATTTCCTTTCCTACCATTGTCCTCGAAGAGCTTGAAATCTGCACTAGCAAATTACACAAAAAGAGTGTTTTAAATGTGCTCTCTCTAAAGGAAGGTTCAAATCTCTGAGTTGAATGCACACAACACAAAGAAGTGACTGGGAATTCTTCTGTCTAGCATTATAGGAGGAAATCCCGTTTCCAACGAAGGCCTCAAAGAGGTCCTAATATCCACTTGCAGACTTTACAAAGACAGCGTTTCCAAACTGCTCTATGAAAAGAAACGTTAAACTCTGTGAGTTGAACGCACACATCACAAACTAGTTTCTGCGAATGATTCTGTGTAGTTTTAATTCGAAGATATTTCCATTTCTAAGATTGGCCTCAAATCCCTTGCAATCTCCACTTGCAAATGCCACAAAAAGAGTGTTTCAAAACTGCTCTGAATAAAGGAAGGTTCAACTCTGTGAGTTGAATGCACACAACAGAAAGTAGTAACTGAGAATTCTTCTGTCGGGCAGTATATGAAGAAATCCCGTTTGCAACGAAGGCCTCACAGAAATCTAAATATCCACTTGCAGACCTTACAGACAGAGTGTTTCCAAACTTCTCTATGAAAAGAAAGGTTAATCTCCGTGAGTTGCACGCACACTTCACAAAGTAGATTCTGAAAATGATTCTGTCTAGTTTTTATACGAAGATATTTCCTTTTCTACCATTGGCCTCAAATCGCTTGAAATCTTTACTTGCAAAAGCCACGAAAAGAGCGTTTCAAATCTGCTCTGTCTAAAGAAAGGTTCAAATCTGTGAGTTGAATACACACAACACAAAGTAGTTACTGAAAATGCTTCGGGCTAGAAGTATATGGAGAAATCCCGTTTCCAAAGAAGGCCTGAAAGAGGTCCAAATATCCGCTTGCAGACTTTACAAAAAGAGTGTTTCCAAACTGCTCTATGAAAAGAAAGTTTAAAATCTGTGAGTTGAACGCACAAATCACAGAGCAGTTCCTGAGAATTGTTCTGTCTAGTTTTTATACGACGATATTTCCTTTTCTACAATTGGCCTCAAATCGCCTGAAATCTCCACTTGTAAAAGCAACGAAAGGAGAGTTTCAAATCTGCTCGGTTTAAAGAAAGGTTCAACTCTGTGAATTGAATACACACAACCCAAAGAAGTTACTGAGAATTCTTCGGTCTAGCAGTATATGAAGAAATCCCGTTTCCAACGAAGGCCTCAAAAAGGTCCAAATATCTGCTTGCAGACTTTACAAAGAGAGTGCTTCCAACCTGCTCTATGAAAAGAAAGGTTAAACTCTGTGACTTGAACGCACACATCACAAAGAAGTTTCTGAGAATGATTCTGTTTAGTTATTATACGAAGATATTTTCTTTTCTACCATTGGCCTCCAATGACTTGAAATCTCCTCTGGCAAAAGCCACGAAAAGAGAGTATCAAATCTGCTCTGTCTAAAGAAAAGTTCAACTCTGTGAGTTGAATACACACAGCACAAAGAAGTTACTGAGTATTCTTCTGTCTAGCATTATATGAAGAAGTCCCGTTTCCAACGAACGGCTCAGCTCCAAATATCCACTTGGAGACTTTACAAAGAGAGCGTTTCCAAACTGCTCTATGGAAAGAAACGTTAAACTCTGTGAGTTGAACGCACACATCACAAACTAGTTTCTGCGAACGATTCTGTGTAGTTATAATTCGAAGATATTTCTATTTCTAAGATTGGCCTCAAATTGCTTTAAATCTCCACTTGCAAATTCCACAAAAAGAGTGTTTCAAAACTGCTCTGAATAAAGGAAGGTTCAACTGGGTGAGTTGAATACACACAACACAAAGAAGTTACTGAGAATTCTTCTGTCTGTGAGTATATGAAGAAATCCCGTTTGCAACGAAGGCCTCCCAGAAATCTAAATATCCACTTGCAGACCTTACAGACAGAGTCTTTCCAAACTGCTCTATGAAAAGAAAGGGTAATCTCCGTGAGTTGCACGCACACATCAGAAAGTAATTTCTGAGAATGATTCTCTCTAGTTTTTATACGAAGATATTTCCTTTTCTACCATTGGCCTCAAATCGTTTGAAACCTCCACATGCAAAAGCCACGAAAAGAGCGTTTCAAATCTGCTCTGTCTAAAGAAAGGTTCAAATCTGTGAGTTGAATACACACAACACAAAGTAGTTACTGAAAATGCTTCGGTCTAGCAGTATATGGAGAAATCCCGTTTCCAACGAAGGGCTCAAAGAAGTCCAAATATCCACTTGCAGACTTTACAAAAATAGTGTTTCCAAACTGCTCAATTAAAAGAATGGTTAAACTCTGTGAGTGGAATGCACACATATCACAAAGTAGTTTCTGAGAATGAGTTTGTCTAGTTTTCATACGAAGATATTTCCTTTTCTACCATTGTCCTCGAAGAGCTTGAAATCTGCTCTAGCAAATTACACAAAAAGAGTGTTTCAAATGTGCTCTCTCTAAAGGAAGGTTCAAATCTCTCAGTTGAATGCACACAACACAAAGAAGTGACTGAGAATACTTCTGTCTAGCATTACAGGAAGAAATCCCGATTCCAAAGAAGGCCTCAAAGAGGTCCAAATATCCACTTGCAGACTTTACAAATAGAGTGTTTCCAAACTGCTCTATGAAAAGAAAGGTTAAACTCTGTGAGTTGAACGCACACATCACAAGGTAGTATCTCAGAATGACACTGTCTAGTTTTTATACAAAGATATTTCCATTTCTAAGACTGGCCTCAAATCCCTAGAAATCTCCATTGGAAATTGCACAAACAGAGTGTTTGAAAACTGCTCTTTCTAAAGGAAGGTTCAACTCTGTTAGTTGAATACACACAACACAAACAAGTTACTGAGAATTCTTCTATCTAGCATTATATGAAGAAATCCCGTTTCCAACGAAGGCCTCAAAGAGGTCCAAATATCTTACTGCAGACTTTACAAAGAGAGTGTTTCCAAACTGCTCAATTAAAAGAAAGGTTAAACTCTGTGAGTGGAATGCACACATCACAAAGTAGTTTCTGAGAATGATTTTGTCTAGTTTTAATACGAAGATATTTCCTTTCCTACCATTGTCCTCGAAGAGCTTGAAATCTGCACTAGCAAATTACACAAAAAGAGTGTTTCAAATGTGCTCTCTCTAAAGGAAGGTTCAAATCTCTGAGTTGAATGCACACAACACAAAGAAGTGACTGGGAATTCTTCTGTCTAGCATTATAGGAGGAAATCCCGTTTCCAACGAAGGCCTCAAAGCAGGTCCTAATATCCACTTGCAGACTTTACAAAGACAGCGTTTCCAAACTGCTCTATGAAAAGAAACGTTAGACTCTGTGAGTTGAACGCACACATCACAAACTAGTTTCTGCGAATGATTCTGTGTAGTTTTAATTCGAAGATATTTCCATTTCTAAGATTGGCCTCAAATCCCTTGAAATCTCCACTTGCAAATTCCACAAAAAGAGTGTTTCAAAACTGCTCTGAATAAAGGAAGGTTCAACTCTGTAAGTTGAATGCACACAACTGAAAGTAGTAACTGAGAATTCTTCTGTCGGGCAGTATATGAAGAAATCCCGTTTGCAACGAAGGCCTCACAGAAATCTAAATATCCACTTGCAGACCTTACAGACAGAGTGTTTCCAAACTTCTCTATGAAAAGAAAGGTTAATCTCCGTGAGTTGCACGCACACATCACAAAGTAGATTCTGAGAATGATTCTGTCTAGTTTTTATACGAAGATATTTCCTTTTCTACCATTGTCCTCAAATCGCTTGAAATCTTTACTTGCAAAAGCCACGAAAAGAGCGTTTCAAATCTGCTCTGTCTAAAGAAAGGTTCAAATCTGTGAGTTGAATACACACAACACAAAGTAGTTACTGAAAATGCTTTGGGCTAGCAGTATATGGAGAAATCCCGTTTCCAAAGAAGGCCTGAAAGAGGTCCAAATATCCGCTTGCAGACTTTACAAAAAGAGTGTTTCCAAACTGCTCTATGAAAAGAAAGTTTAAAATCTGTGAGTTGAACGCACAAATCACAGAGCAGTTCTGAGAATTGTTCTGTCTAGTTTTTATACGAAGATATTTCCTTTTCTACAATTGGCCTCAAATCGCTTGAAATCTCCACTTGCAAAAGCAACGAAATGAGAGTTTCAAATCTGCTCGGTCTAAAGAAAGGTTCAACTCTGTGAATTGAATACACACAACCCAAAGAAGTTACTGAGAATTCTTCGGTCTAGCAGTATATGAAGAAATCCCGTTTCCAACGAAGGCCTCAAAAAGGTCCAAATATCTGCTTGCAGACTTTACAAAGAGAGTGCTTCCAACCTGCTCTATGAAAAGAAAGGTTAAACTCTGTGAGTTGAACGCACACATCACAAAGAAGTTTCTGAGAATGATTCTGTTTAGTTATTATACGAAGATATTTTCTTTTCTACCATTGGCCTCCAATGACTTGAAATCTCCTCTGGCAAAAGCCACGAATAGAGAGTATCAAATCTGCTCTATCTAAAGAAAAGTTCAACTCTGTGAGTTGAATACACACAGCACAAAGAAGTTACTGAGTATTCTTCTGTCTAGCATTATATGAAGAAGTCCCGTTTCCAACGAAGGGCTCAAAGAGCTCCAAATATCCACTTGGAGACTTTACAAAGAGAGCGTTTCCAAACTGCTCTATGAAAAGAAACGTTAAACTCTGTGAGTTGAACGCACACATCACAAACTAGTTTCTGCGAACGATTCTGTGTAGTTTTAATTCGAAGATATTTCCATTTCTAAGATTGGCCTCAAATCCCTTGAAATCTCCACTTGCAAATTCCACAAAAAGAGTGTTTCAAAACTGCTCTGAATAAAGGAAGGTTCAACTCCATGAGTTGAATGCACACAACACAAAGAGTTACTGAGAATTCTTCTGTCTGTGAGTATATGAAGAAATCCCGTTTGCAACGAAGGCCTCACAGAAATCTAAATATCCACTTGCAGACCTTACAGACAGAGTCTTTCCAAACTGCTCTATGAAAAGAAAGGTTAATCTCCGTGAGTTGCACGCACACATCAGAAAGTAATTTCTGAGAATGATTCTCTCTAGTTTTTATACGAAGATATTTCCTTTTCTACCATTGGCCTCAAATCGTTTGAAACCTCCACATGCAAAAGCCACGAAAAGAGCGTTTCAAATCTGCTCTGTCTAAAGAAAGGTTCAAATCTGTGAGTTGAATACACACAACACAAAGTAGTTACTGAAAATGCTTCGGTCTAGCAGTATATGGAGAAATCCCGTTTCCAACGAAGGGCTCAAAGAAGTCCAAATATCCACTTGCAGACTTTACAAAAATAGTGTTTCCAAACTGCTAAATTAAAAGAAAGGTTAAACTCTGTGAGTGGAACGCACACATCACAAAGTAGTTTCTGAGAATGAGTTTGTCTAGTTTTCATACGAAGATATTTCCTTTTCTACCATTGTCCTCGAAGAGCTTGAAATCTGCACTAGCAAATTACACAAAAAGAGTGTTTCAAATGTGCTCTCTCTAAAGGAAGGTTCAAATCTCTGAGTTGAATGCACACAACACAAAGAAGTGACTGAGAATACTTCTGTCTAGCATTATAGGAAGAAATCCCGTTTCCAACGAAGGCCTCAAAGAGGTCCAAATATCCACTTGCAGACTTTACAAATAGAGTGTTTCCAAACTGCTCTATGAAAAGAAAGGTTAAACTCTGTGAGTTGAACGCACACATCACAAGGTAGTATCTCAGAATGACACTGTCTAGTTTTTATACAAAGATATTTCCATTTCTAAGACTGGCCTCAAATCCCTAGAAATCTCCATTGGAAATTGCACAAACAGAGTGTTTGAAAACTGCTCTTTCTAAAGGAAGGTTCAACTCTGTTAGTTGAATACACACAACACAAGCAAGTTACTGAGAATTCTTCTATCTAGCATTATATGAAGAAATCCCGTTTCCAACGAAGGCCTCAAAGAGGTCCAAATATCCTACTGCAGACTTTACAAAGAGAGTGTTTCCAAACTGCTCAATTAAAAGAAAGGTTAAAGTCTGTGAGTGGAATGCACACATCACAAAGTAGTTTCTGAGAATGATTTTGTCTAGTTTTAATACGAAGATATTTCCTTTCCTACCATTGTCCTCGAAGAGCTTGAAATCTGCACTAGCAAATTACACAAAAAGAGTGTTTTAAATGTGCTCTCTCTAAAGGAAGGTTCAAATCTCTGAGTTGAATGCACACAACACAAAGAAGTGACTGGGAATTCTTCTGTCTAGCATTATAGGAGGAAATCCCGTTTCCAACGAAGGCCTCAAAGAGGTCCTAATATCCACTTGCAGACTTTACAAAGACAGCGTTTCCAAACTGCTCTATGAAAAGAAACGTTAAACTGTGTGAGTTGAACGCACACATCACAAACTAGTTTCTGCGAATGATTCTGTGTAGTTTTAATTCGAAGATATTTTCTTTTCTACCATTGGCCTCAAATCCCTTGAAATCTCCACTTGCAAATTCCACAAGAAGAGTGTTTCAAAACTGCTCTGAATAAAGAAAGGTTCAACTCTGTGAGTTGAATGCACACAACAGAAAGTAGTAACTGAGAATTCTTCTGTCGGGCAGTATTTGAAGAAATCCCGTTTGCAACGAAGGCCTCACAGAAATCTAAATATCCACTTGCAGACCTTACAGACAGAGTGTTTCCAAACTTCTCTATGAAAAGAAAGGTTAATCTCCGTGAGTTGCACGCACACATCACAAAGTAGATTCTGAGAATGATTCTGTCTAGTTTTTATACGAAGATATTTCCTTTTCTACCATTGGCCTCAAATCGCTTGAAATCTTTACTTGCAAAAGCCACGAAAAGAGCGTTTCAAATCTGCTCTGTCTAAAGAAAGGTTCAAATCTGTGAGTTGAATACACACAACACAAAGTAGTTACTGAAAATTCTTCGGGCTAGCAGTATATGGAGAAATCCCGTTTCCAAAGAAGGCCTGAAAGAGGTCCAAATATCCGCTTGCAGACTTTACAAAAAGAGTGTTTCCAAACTGCTCTATGAAAAGAAAGTTTAAAATCTGTGAGTTGAACGCACAAATCACAGAGCAGTTTCTGAGAATTGTTCTGTCTAGTTTTTATACGAAGATATTTCCTTTTCTACAATTGGCCTCAAATCGCTTGAAATCTCCACTTGCAAAAGCAACGAAAGGAGAGTTTCAAATCTGCTCGGTCTAAAGAAAGGTTCAACTCTGTGAATTGAATACACACAACCCAAAGAAGTTACTGAGAATTCTTCGGTCTAGCAGTATATGAAGAAATCCCGTTTCCAACGAAGGCCTCAAAAAGGTCCAAATATCTGCTTGCAGACTTTACAAAGAGAGTGCTTCCAACCTGCTCTATGAAAAGAAAGGTTAAACTCTGTGAGTTGAACGCACACATCACAAAGAAGTTTCTGAGAATGATTCTGTTTATTTATTATACGAAGATATTTTCTTTTCTACCATTGGCCTCCAATGACTTGAAATCTCCTCTGGCAAAATCCACGAAAAGAGAGTATCAAATCTGCTCTGTCTAAAGAAAAGTTCAACTCTGTGAGTTGAATACACACAGCACAAAGAAGTTACTGAGTAATCTTCTGTGTAGCATTATATGAAGAAGTCCCGTTTCCAACGAAGGGCTCAAAGAGCTCCAAATATCCACTTGGAGACTTTACAAAGAGAGCGTTTCCAAACTGCTCTATGAAAAGAAACGTTAAACTCTGTGAGTTGAACGCACACATCACAAACTAGTTTCTGCGAACGATTCTGTGTAGTTTTAATTCGAAGATATTTCCATTTCTAAGATTGGCCTCAAATCCCTTGAAATCTCCACTTGCAAATTCCACAAAAAGAGTGTTTCAAAACTGCTCTGAATAAAGGAAGGTTCAACTCCGTGAGTTGAATGCACACAACACAAAGAGTTACTGAGAATTCTTCTGTCTGTGAGTATATGAAGAAATCCCGTTTGCAACGAAGGCCTCACAGAAATCTAAATATCCACTTGCAGACCTTACAGACAGAGTCTTTCCAAACTGCTCTATGAAAGGAAAGGTTAATCTCCGTGAGTTGCACGCACACATCAGAAAGTAATTTCTGAGAATGATTCTCTCTAGTTTTTATACGAAGATATTTCCTTTTCTACCATTGGCCTCAAATCGTTTGAAACCTCCACATGCAAAAGCCACGAAAAGAGCGTTTCAAATCTGCTCTGTCTAAAGAAAGGTTCAAATCTGTGAGTTGAATACACACAACACAAAGTAGTTACTGAAAATGCTTCGGTCTAGCAGTATATGGAGAAATCCCGTTTCCAACGAAGGGCTCAAAGAAGTCCAAATATCCACTTGCAGACTTTACAAAAATAGTGTTTCCAAACTGCTCAATTAAAAGAAAGGTTAAACTCTGTGAGTGGAACGCCCACATCACAAAGTAGTTTCTGAGAATGAGTTTGTCTAGTTTTCATACGAAGATATTTCCTTTTCTACCATTGTCCTCGAAGAGCTTGAAATCTGCACTAGCAAATTACAAAAAAAGAGTGTTTCAAATGTGCTCTCTCTAAAGGAAGGTTCAAATCTCTGAGTTGAATGCACACAACACAAAGAAGTGACTGAGAATACTTCTGTCTAGCATTATAGGAAGAAATCCCGTTTCCAACGAAGGCCTCAAAGAGGTCCAAATATCCACTTGCAGACTTTACAAATAGAGTGTTTCCAAACTGCTCTGTGAAAAGAAAGGTTAAACTCTGTGAGTTGAACGCACACATCACAAGGTAGTATCTCAGAATGACACTGTCTAGTTTTTATACAAAGATATTTCCATTTCTAAGACTGGCCTCAAATCCCTAGAAATCTCCATTGGAAATTGCACAAACAGAGTGTTTGAAAACTGCTCTTTCTAAAGGAAGGTTCAACTCTGTTAGTTGAATACACACAACACAAACAAGTTACTGAGAATTCTTCTATCTAGCATTATATGAAGAAATCCCGTTTCCAACGAAGGCCTCAAAGAGGTCCAAATATCCTACTGCAGACTTTACAAAGAGAGTGTTTCCAAACTGCTCAATTAAAAGAAAGGTTAAACTCTGTGAGTGGAACGCACACATCACAAAGTAGTTTCTGAGAATGATTTTGTCTAGTTTTAATACGAAGATATTTCCTTTCCTACCATTGTCCTCGAAGAGCTTGAAATCTGCACTAGCAAATTACACAAAAAGAGTGTTTTAAATGTGCTCTCTCTAAAGGAAGGTTCAAATCTCTGAGTTGAATGCACACAACACAAAGAAGTGACTGGGAATTCTTCTGTCTAGCATTATAGGAGGAAATCCCGTTTCCAACGAAGGCCTCAAAGAGGTCCTAATATCCACTTGCAGACTTTACAAAGACAGCGTTTCCAAACTGCTCTATGAAAAGAAACGTTAAACTCTGTGAGTTGAACGCACACATCACAAACTAGTTTCTGCGAATGATTCTGTGTAGTTTTAATTCGAAGATATTTCCATTTCTAAGATTGGCCTCAAATCCCTTGAAATCTCCACTTGCAAATTCCACAAAAAGAGTGTTTCAAAACTGCTCTGAATAAAGGAAGGTTCAACTCTGTGAGTTGAATGCACACAACAGAAAGTAGTAACTGAGAATTCTTCTGTCGGGCAGTATATGAAGAAATCCCGTTTGCAAAGAAGGCCTCACAGAAATCTAAATATCCACTTGCAGACCTTACAGACAGAGTGTTTCCAAACTTCTCTATGAAAAGAAAGGTTAATCTCCGTGAGTTGCACGCACACATTACAAAGTAGATTCTGAGAATGACTCTGTCTAGTTTTTATACGAAGATATTTCCTTTTCTACCATTGGCCTCAAATCGCTTGAAATCTTTACTTGCAAAAGCCACGAAAAGAGCGTTTCAAATCTGCTCTGTCTAAAGAAAGGTTCAAATCTGTGAGTTGAATACACACAACACAAAGTAGTTACTGAAAATTCTTCGGGCTAGCAGTATATGGAGAAATCCCGTTTCCAAAGAAGGCCTGAAAGAGGTCCAAATATCCGCTTGCAGACTTTACAAAAAGAGTGTTTCCAAACTGCTCTATGAAAAGAAAGTTTAAAATCTGTGAGTTGAACGCAAAAATCACAGAGCAGTTTCTGAGAATTGTTCTGTCAAGTTTTTATACGAAGATATTTCCTTTTTTACAATTGGCCTCAAATCGCTTGAAATCTCCACTTGCAAAAGCAACGAAAGGAGAGTTTCAAATCTGCTCGGTCTAAAGAAAGGTTCAACGCTGTGAATTGAATACACATAACCCAAAGAAGTTACTGAGAATTCTTCGGTCTAGCAGTATATGAAGAAATCCCGTTTCCAACGAAGGCCTCAAAAGTCCAAATATCTGCATGCAGACTTTACAAAGAGAGTGCTTCCAACCTGCTCTATGAAAAGAAAGGTTAAACTCTGTGAGTTGAACGCACACATCACAAAGAAGTTTCTGAGAATGATTCTGTTTAGTTATTATACGAAGATATTTTCTTTTCTACCATTGGCCTCCAATGACTTGAAATCTCCTCTGGCAAAAGCCACGAAAAGAGAGTATCAAATCTGCTCTGTCTAAAGAAAAGTTCAACTCTGTGAATTGAATACACACAGCACAAAGAAGTTACTGAGTATTCTTCTGTCTAGCATTATATGAAGAAGTCCCGTTTCCAACGAAGGGCTCAAACAGCTCCAAATATCCACTTGGAGACTTTACAAAGAGAGCGTTTCCAAACTGCTCCATGAAAGGAAACGTTAAACTCTGTGAGTTGAACGCACACATCACAAACTAGTTTCTGCGAACGATTCTGTGTAGTTTTAATTCGAAGATATTTCCATTTCTAAGATTGGCCACAAATCCCTTGAAATCTCCACTTGCAAATTCCACAAAAAGAGTGTTTCAAAACTGCTCTGAATAAAGGAAGGTTCAACTCTGTGAGTTGAATGCACACAACACAAAGTAGTTACTGAGAATTCTTCTGTCTGTGAGTATATGAAGAAATCCCATTTGCAACGAAGGCCTCACAGAAATCTAAATATCCACTTGCAGACCTTACAGACAGAGTCTTTCCAAACTGCTCTATGAAAAGAAAGGTTAATCTCCGTGAGTTGCACGCACACATCAGAAAGTAATTTCTGAGAATGATTCTCTCTAGTTTTTATACGAAGATATTTCCTTTTCTACCATTGGCCTCAAATCGTTTGAAACCTCCACATGCAAAATCCACGAAAAGAGCGTTTCAAATCTGCTCTGTCTAAAGAAAGGTTCAAATCTGTGAGTTGAATACACACAACACAAAGTAGTTACTGAAAATGCTTCGGTCTAGCAGTATATGGAGAAATCCCGTTTCCAACGAAGGGCTCAAAGAAGTCCAAATATCCACTTGCAGACTTTACAAAAATAGTGTTTCCAAACTGTTCAATTAAAAGAAAGGTTAAACTCTGTGAGTGGAATGCACACATCACAAAGTAGTTTCTGAGAATGAGTTTGTCTAGTTTTAATACGAAGATATTTCCTTTCCTACCATTGTCCTCGAAGAGCTTGAAATCTGCACTAGCAAATTACACAAAAAGAGTGTTTCAAATGTGCTCTCTCTAAAGGAAGGTTCAAATCTCTGAGTTGAATGCACACAACACAAAGAAGTGACTGAGAATACTTCTGTCTACCATTATAGGAAGAAATCCCGTTTCCAACGAAGGCCTCAAAGAGGTCCAAATATCCACTTGCAGACTTTACAAATAGAGTGTTTCCAAACTGCTCTATGAATAGAAAGGTTAAACTCTGTGAGTTGAACGCACACATCACAAGGTAGTATCTCAGAATGACACTGTCTAGTTTTTATACAAAGATATTTCCATTTCTAAGACTGGCCTCAAATCCCTAGAAATCTCCATTAGAAATTGCACAAACAGAGTGTTTGAAAACTGCTCTTTCTAAAGGAAGGTTCAACTCTGTTAGTTGAATACACACAACACAAACAAGTTACTGAGAATTCTTCTATCTAGCATTATATGAAGAAATCCCGTTTCCAACGAAGGCCTCAAAGAGGTCCAAATATCCTACTGCAGACTTTACAAAGAGAGTGTTTCCAAACTGCTCAATTAAAAGAAAGGTTAAACTCTGTGAGTGGAACGCACACATCACAAAGTAGTTTCTGAGAATGATTTTGTCTAGTTTTAATACGAAGATATTTCCTTTCCTACCATTGTCCTCCAAGAGCTTGAAATCTGCACTAGCAAATTACACAAAAAGAGTGTTTTAAATGTGCTCTCTCTAAAGGAAGGTTCAAATCTCTGAGTTGAATGCACACAACACAAAGAAGTGACTGGGAATTCTTCTGTCTAGCATTATAGGAGGAAATCCCGTTTCCAACGAAGGCCTCAAAGAGGTCCTAATATCCACTTGCAGACTTTACAAAGACAGCGTTTCCAAACTGCTCTATGAAAAGAAACGTTAAACTCTGTGAGTTGAACGCACACATCACAAACTAGTTTCTGCGAATGATTCTGTGTAGTTTTAATTCGAAGATATTTCCATTTCTAAGATTGGCCTCAAATCCCTTGAAATCTTCACTTGCAAATTCCACAAAAAGAGTGTTTCAAAACTGCTCTGAATATAGGAAGGTTCAACTCTGTGAGTTGAATGCACACAACAGAAAGTAGTAACAGAATTCTTCTGTCGGGCAGTATATGAAGAAATCCCGTTTGCAACGAAGGCCTCACAGAAATCTAAATATCCACTTGCAGACTTTACAGACAGACTCTTTCCAAACTTCTCTATGAAAAGAAAGGTTAATCTCCGTGAGTTGCACGCACACATCACAAAGTAGATTCTGAGAACGATTCTGTCTAGTTTTTATACGAAGATATTTCCTTTTCTACCATTGGCCTCAAATCGCTTGAAATCTTTACTTGCAAAAGCCACGAAAAGAGCGTTTCAAATCTGCTCTGTCTAAAGAAAGGTTCAAATCTGTGAGTTGAATACACACAACACAAAGTAGTTACTGAAAATTCTTCGGGCTAGCAGTATATGGAGAAATCCCGTTTCCAAAGAAGGCCTGAAAGTGGTCCAAATATCCGCTTGCAGACTTTACAAAAAGAGTGTTTCCAAACTGCTCTATGAAAAGAAAGTTTAAAATCTGTGAGTTGAACGCACAAATCACAGAGCAGTTTCTGAGAATTGTTCTGTCTAGTTTTTATACGAAGATATTTCCTTTTCTACAATTGGCCTCAAATCGCTTGAAATCTCCACTTGCAAAAGCAACGAAAGGAGAGTTTCAAATCTGCTCGGTCTAAAGAAAAGTTCAACTCTGTGAATTGAATACACACAACCCAAAGATGTTACTGAGAATTCTTCGGTCTAGCAGTATATGAAGAAATCCCGTTTCCAAAGAAGGCCTCAAAAAGGTCCAAATATCTGCTTGCAGATTTTACAAAGAGAGTGCTTCCAACCTGCTCTATGAAAAGAAAGGTTAAACTCTGTGAGTTGAATGCACACATCACAAAGAAGTTTCTGAGAATGATTCTGTTTAGTTATTATACGAAGATATTTTCTTTTCTACCATTGGCCTCCAATGACTTGAAATCTCCTCTGGCAAAACCCACGAAAAGAGAGTATCACATCTGCTCTGTCTAAAGAAAAGTTCAACTCTGTGAGTTGAATACACACAGCACAAAGAAGTTACTGAGTATTCTTCTGTCTAGCATTATATGAAGAAGTCCCGTTTCCAACGAAGGGCTCAAAGAGCTCCAAATATCCACTTGGAGACTTTACAAAGAGAGCGTTTCCAAACTGCTCTATGAAAAGAAACGTTAAACTCTGTGAGTTGAATGCACACATCACAAACTAGTTTCTGCGAACGATTCTGTGTAGTTTTAATTCGAAGATATTTCCATTTCTAAGATTGGCCTCAAATCCCTTGAAATCTCCACTTGCAAATTCCACAAAAAGAGTGTTTCAAAACTGCTCTGAATAAAGGAAGGTTCAACTCCGTGAGTTGAATGCACACAACACAAAGAGTTACTGAGAATTCTTCTGTCTGTGAGTATATGAAGAAATCCCGTTTGCAACGAAGGCCTCCCAGAAATCTAAATATCCACTTGCAGACCTTACAGACAGAGTCTTTCCAAACTGCTCTATGAAAAGAAAGGTTAATACTGCTGTGAGTTGCACGCACACATCAGAAAGTAATTTCTGAGAATGATTCTCTCTAGTTTTTATACGAAGATATTTCCTTTTCTACCATTGGCCTCAAATCGTTTGAAACCTCCACATGCAAAAGCCACGAAAAGAGCGTTTCAAATCTGCTCTGTCTAAAGAAAGGTTCAAATCTGTGAGTTGAATACACACAACACAAAGTAGTTACTGAAAATGCTTCGGTCTAGCAGTATATGGAGAAATCCCGTTTCCAACGAAGGGCTCAAAGAAGTCCAAATATCCACTTGCAGAGTTTACAAAAATAGTGTTTCCAAACTGCTCAATTAAAAGAAAGGTTAAACTCTGTGAGTGGAACGCACACATCACAAAGTAGTTTCTGAGAATGAGTTTGTCTAGTTTTCATACGAAGATATTGCCTTTTCTACCATTGTCCTCGAAGAGCTTGAAATCTGCACTAGCAAAATACACAAAAAGAGTGTTTCAAATGTGCTCTCTCTAAAGGAAGGTTCAAATCTCTGAGTTGAATGCACACAACACAAAGAAGTGACTGAGAATACTTCTGTCTAGCATTATAGGAAGAAATCCCGTTTCCAACGAAGGCCTCAAAGAGGTCCAAATATCCACTTGCAGACTTTACAAATAGAGTGTTTCCAAACTGCTCTATGAAAACAAAGGTTAAACTCTGTGAGTTGAACGCACACATCACAAGGTAGTATCTCAGAATGACACTGTCTAGTTTTTATACAAAGATATTTCCATTTCTAAGACTGGCATCAAATCCCTAGAAATCTCCATTGGAAATTGCACAAACAGAGTGTTTGAAAACTGCTCTTTCTAAAGGAAGGTTCAACTCTGTTAGTTGAATACACACAACACAAACAAGTTACTGAGAATTCTTCTATCTAGCATTATATGAAGAAATCCCGTTTCCAACGAAGGCCTCAAAGAGGTCCAAATATCCTACTGCAGACTTTACAAAGAGAGTGTTTCCAAACTGCTCAATTAAAAGAAAGGTTAAACTCTGTGAGTGGAACGCACACATCACAAAGTAGTTTCTGAGAATGATTTTGTCTAGTTTTAATACGAAGATATTTCCTTTCCTACCATTGTCCTCGAAGAGCTTGAAATCTGCACTAGCAAATTACACAAAAAGAGTGTTTCAAATGTGCTCTCTCTAAAGGAAGGTTCAAATCTCTGAGGTGAATGCACACAACACAAAGAAGTGACTGAGAATACTTCTGTCTAGCATTACAGGAAGAAATCCCGTTTCCAACGAAGGCCTCAAAGAGGTCCAAATATCCACTTGCAGACTTTACAAATAGAGTGTTTCCAAACTGCTCTATGAAAAGAAAGGTTAAACTCTGTGAGTTGAACGCACACATCACAAGGTAGTATCTCAGAATGACACTGTCTAGTTTTTATACAAAGATATTTCCATTTCTAAGACTGGCCTCAAATCCCTAGAAATCTCCATTGGAAATTGCACAAACAGAGTGTTTGAAAACTGCTCTTTCTAAAGGAAGGTTCAACTCTGTTAGTTGAATACACACAACACAAACAAGTTACTGAGAACTCTTCTATCTAGCATTATATGAAGAAATCCCGTTTCCAACGAAGGCCTCAAAGAGGTCCAAATATCCTACTGCAGACTTTACAAAGAGAGTGTTTCCAAACTGCTCAATTAAAAGAAAGGTTAAACTCTGTGAGTGGAACGCACACATCACAAAGTAGTTTCTGAGAATGATTTTGTCTAGTTTTCATACGAAGATATATCCTTTCCTACCATTGTCCTCGAAGAGCTTGAAATCTGCACTAGCAAATTACACAAAAAGAGTGTTTTAAATGTGCTCTCTCTAAAGGAAGGTTCAAATCTCTGAGTTGAATGCACACAACACAAAGGAGTGACTGGGAATTCTTCTGTCTAGCATTATAGGAGGAAATCCCGTTTCCAACGAAGGCCTCAAAGAGGTCCTAATATCCACTTGCAGACTTTACAAAGACAGCGTTTCCAAACTGCTCTATGAAAAGAAACGTTAAACTCTGTGAGTTGAACGCACACATCACAAACTAGTTTCTGCGAATGATTTCTGTGTAGTTTTAATTCGAAGATATTTCCATTTCTAAGATTGGCCTCAAATCCCTTGAAATCTCCACTTGCAATTTCCACAAAAAGTGTGTTTCAAAACTGCTCTGAATAAAGGAAGGTTCAAATCTGTGAGATGAATGCACACAACACAAAGTAGTTACTGAGAATTCTTCTGTCGGACAGTATATGAAGAAATCCCGTTTGCAACGAAGGCCTCACAGAAATCTAAATATCCACTTGCAGACCTTACAGACAGAGTGTTTCCAAACTTCTCTATGAAAAGAAAGGTTAATCTCTGTGAGTTGCACGCACACATCACAAAGTAGATTCTGAGAATGATTCTGTCTAGTTTTTATACGAAGATATTTCCTTTTCTACCATTGGCCTCAAATCGCTTGAAATCTTTACTTGCAAAAGCCACGAAAAGAGCGTTTCAAATCTGCTCTGTCTAAAGAAAGGTTCAAATCTGTGAGTTGAATACACACAACACAAAGTAGTTACTGAAAATGCTTCGGGCTAGCAGTATATGGAGAAATCCCGTTTCCAAAGAAGGCCTGAAAGAGGTCCAAATATCCGCTTGCACACTTTACAAAAAGAGTGTTTCCAAACTGCTCTATGAAAAGAAAGTTTAAAATCTGTGAGTTGAACGTACAAATCACAGGGCAGTTTCTGAGAATTGTTCTGTCTAGTTTTTGTACGAAGATATTTCCTTTTCTACCATTGGCCTCATATCGCTTGAAATCTCCACTTGCAAAAGCAACGGAAGGAGAGTTTCAAATCTGCTCTGTCGAAAGAAAGGTTCAACTCTGTGAATTGAATACACACAACCCAAAGAAGTTACTGAGAATTCTTCGGTCTAGCAGTATATGAAGAAATCCCGTTTCCAACGAAGGCCTCAAAAAGGTCCAAATATCTGCTTGCAGACTTTACAAAGAGAGTGCTTCCAACCTGCTCTATGAAAAGAAAGGTTAAACTCTGTGAGTTGAACGCACACATCACAAAGACGTTTCTGAGAATGATTCTGTTTAGTTATTATATGAAGATATTTTCTTTTCTACCATTGGCCTCCAATGACTTGAAATCTCCTCTGGCAAAAGCCACGAAAAGAGAGTATCAAATCTACTCTGTCTAAAGAAAAGTTCAACTCTGTGAGTTGAATACACACAGCACAAAGAAGTTACTGAGTATTCTTCTGTCTAGCATTATATGAAGAAGTCCCGTTTCCAACGAAGGGCTCAAAGAGCTCCAAATATCCACTTGGAGACTTTACAAAGAGAGCGTTTCCAAACTGCTCTATGAAAAGAAACGTTAAACTCTGTGAGTTGAACGCACACATCACAAACTAGTTTCTGCGAACGATTCTGTGTAGTTTTAATTCGAAGATATTTCCATTTCTAAGATTGGCCTCAAATCCCTTGAAATCTCCACTTGCAAATTCCACAAAAAGAGTGTTTCAAAACTGCTCTGAATAAAGGAAGGTTCAACTCCGTGAGTTGAATGCACACAACACAAAGAGTTACTGAGAATTCTTCTGTCTGTGAGTATATGAAGAAATCCCATTTGCAACGAAGGCCTCCCAGAAATCTAAATATCCACTTGCAGACCTTACAGACAGAGTCTTTCCAAACTGCTCTATGAAAAGAAAGGTTAATCTCCGTGAGTTGCACGCACACATCAGAAAGTAATTTCTGAGAATGATTCTCTCTAGTTTATATACGAAGATATTTCCTTTTCTACCATTGGCCTCAAATCGTTTGAAACCTCCACATGCAAAAGCCACGAAAAGAGCGTTTCAAATCTGCTCTGTCTAAAGAAAGGTTCAAATCTGTGAGTTGAATACACACAACACAAAGTAATTACTGAAAATGCTTCGGTCTAGCAGTATATGGAGAAATCCCGTTTCCAACGAAGGGTTCAAAGAAGTCCAAATATCCACTTGCAGACTTTACAAAAATAGTGTTTCCAAACTGCTCAATTAAAAGAAAGGTTAAACTCTGTGAGTGGAACGCACACATCACAAAGTAGTTTCTGAGAATGAGTTTGTCTAGTTTTCATACGAAGATGTTTCCTTTTCTACCATTGTCCTCGAAGAGCTTGAAATCTGCACTAGCAAATTACACAAAAAGAGTGTTTCAAATGTGCTCTCTCTAAAGGAAGGTTCAAATCTCTGAGTTGAATGCACACAACACAAAGAAGTGACTGAGAATACTTCTGTCTAGCATTATAGGAAGAAATCCCGTTTCCAACGAAGGCCTCAAAGAGGTCCAAATATCCACTTGCAGACTTTACAAAGACAGCGTTTCCAAACTGCTCTATGAAAAGAAAGGTTAAACTCTGTGAGTTGAACGCACACATCACAAGGTAGTATCTCAGAATGACACTGTCTAGTTTTTATACAAAGATATTTCCATTTCTAAGACTGGCCTCAAATCCCTAGAAATCTCCATTGGAAATTGCACAAACAGAGTGTTTGAAAACTGCTCTTTCTAAAGGAAGGTTCAACTCTGTTAGTTGAATACACACAACACAAACAAGTTACTGAGAATTCTTCTATCTAGCATTATATGAAGAAATCCCGTTTCCAACGAAGGCCTCAAAGAGGTCCAAATATCCTACTGCAGACTTTACAAAGAGAGTGTTTCCAAACTGCTCAATTAAAAGAAAGGTTAAACTCTGTGAGTGGAACGCACACATCACAAAGTAGTTTCTGAGAATGATTTTGTCTAGTTTTAATACGAAGATATTTCCTTTCCTACCATTGTCCTCGAAGAGCTTGAAATCTGCACTAGCAAATTACACAAAAAGAGTGTTTTAAATGTGCTCTCTCTAAAGGAAGGTTCAAATCTCTGAGTTGAATGCACACAACACAAAGAAGTGACTGGGAATTCTTCTGTCTAGCCTTACAGGAGGAAATCCCGTTTCCAACGAAGGCCTCAAAGAGGTCCTAATATCCACTTGCAGACTTTACAAAGACAGCGTTTCCAAACTGCTCTATGAAAAGAAACGTTAAACTCTGTGAGTTGAACGCACACATCACAAACTAGTTTCTGCGAACGATTCTGTGTAGTTTTAATTCGAAGATATTTCCATTTCTAAGATTGGCCTCAAATCCCTTGAAATCTCCACTTGCAAATTCCACAAAAAGAGTGTTTCAAAACTGCTCTGAATAAAGGAAGGTTCAACTCTGTAAGTTGAATGCACACAACTGAAAGTAGTAACTGAGAATTCTTCTGTCGGACAGTATATGAAGAAATCCCGTTTGCAACGAAGGCCTCACAGAAATCTAAATATCCACTTGCAAACCTTACAGACAGAGTGTTTCCAAACTTCTCTATGAAAAGAAAGGTTAATCTGCGTGAGTTGCACGCACACATCACAAAGTAGATTCTGAGAATGATTCTGTCTAGTTTTTATACGAAGATATTTCCTTTTCTACCATTGGCCTCAAATCGCTTGAAATCTTTACTTGCAAAAGCCACGAAAAGAGCGTTTCAAATCTGCTCTGTCTAAAGAAAGGTTCAAATCTGTGAGTTGAATACACACAACACAAAGTAGTTACTGAAAATTCTTTGGGCTAGCAGTATATGGAGAAATCCCGCTTCCAAAGAAGGCCTGAAAGAGGTCCAAATATCCGCTTGCAGACTTTACAAAAAGAGTGTTTCCAAACTGCTCTATGAAAAGAAAGTTTAAAATCTGTGAGTTGAACGCACAAATCACAGAGCAGTTTCTGAGAATTGTTCTGTCTAGTTTTATACGAAGATATTTCCTTTTCTACAATTGGCCTCAAATCGCTTGAAATCTCCACTTGCAAAAGCAACGAAAGGAGAGTTTCAAATCTGCTCGGTCTAAAGAAAGGTTCAACTCTGTGAATTGAATACACACAACCCAAAGAAGTTACTGAGAATTCTTCGGTCTAGCAGTATATGAAGAAATCCCGTTTCCAACGAAGGCCTCAAAAAGGTCCAAATATCTGCTTGCAGACTTTACAAAGAGAGTGCTTCCAACCTGCTCTATGAAAAGAAAGGTTAAACTCTGTGAGTTGAACGCACACATCACAAAGAAGTTTCTGAGAATGATTCTGTTTAGTTATTATACGAAGATATTTTCTTTTCTACCATTGGCCTCCAATGACTTGAAATCTCCTCTGGCAAAAGCCACGAAAAGAGAGTATCAAATCTGCTCTGTCTAAAGAAAAGTTCACCTCTGTGAGTTGAATACACACAGCACAAAGAAGTTACTGAGTATTCTTCTGTCTAGCATTATATGAAGAAGTCCCGTTTCCAACGAAGGGCTCAAACAGCTCCAAATATCCACTTGGAGACTTTACAAAGAGAGCGTTTCCAAACTGCTCTATGAAAAGAAACGTTAAACTCTGTGAGTGGAACGCACACATCGCAAAGTAGTTTCTGAGAATGATTTTGTCTAGTTTTAATACGAAGATATTTCCTTTCCTACCATTGTCCTCGAAGAGCTTGAAATCTGCACTAGCAAATTACACAAAAAGAGTGTTTAAAATGTGCTCTCTCTAAAGGAAGGTTCAAATCTCTGAGTTGAATGCACACAACACAAAGAAGTGACTGAGAATACTTCTGTCTGTGAGTATATGAAGAAATCCCGTTTGCAACGAAGGCCTCACAGAAATCTAAATATCCACTTGCAGACCTTACAGACAGAGTCTTTCCAAACTGCTCTATGAAAAGAAAGGTTAATCTCCGTGAGTTGCACGCACACATCAGAAAGTAATTTCTGAGAATGATTCTCTCTAGTTTTTATACGAAGATATTTCCTTTTCTACCATTGGCCTCAAATCGTTTGAAACCTCCACATGCAAAAGCCACGAAAAGAGCGTTTCAAATCTGCTCTGTCTAAAGAAAGGTTCAAA
Source organism: Homo sapiens (assembly GCF_000001405.40). Taxonomy (NCBI): domain Eukaryota; kingdom Metazoa; phylum Chordata; class Mammalia; order Primates; family Hominidae; genus Homo; species Homo sapiens. The sequence goes on along the minus strand of NC_000010.11, from coordinate 39,847,777 downwards.
TCTGTGAGTTGAATACAGACAACACAAAGTAGTTACTGAAAATGCTTCTGTCTAGCAGTATATGGAGAAATCCCGTTTCAAACGAAGGGCTCAAAAAAGTCCAAATATCCACTTGCAGACTTTACAAAAATAGTGTTTCCAAACTGCTCAATTAAAAGAAAGGTTAAACTCTGTGAGTGGAACGCACACATCACAAAGTAGTTTCTGAGAATGATTTTGTCTAGTTTTCATACGAAGATATTTCCTTTTCTACCATTGTCCTCGAAGAGCTTGAAATGTGCACTAGCAAATTACACAGAAAGAGTGTTTCAAATGTGCTCTCTCTAAAGGAAGGTTCAAATCTCTGAGTTGAATGCACACTACAAAAAGAAGTGACTGAGAATACTGCTGCCCACCATTACAGGAAGAAATCCCGTTTCCAAAGAAGGCCTCAAAGAGGTCCAAATATCCACTTGCAGACTTTACAAATAGAGTGTTTCCAACCTGCTCTATGAAAAGAAAGGTTAAACTCTGTGAGTTGAACGCCCACATCACAAGGTAGTATCTCAGAATGACACTGTCTAGTTTTTATACAAAGATATTTCCATTTCTAAGACTGGCCTCAAATCCCTAGAAATCTCCATTGGAAATTGCACAAACAGAGTGTTTGAAAACTGCTCTTTCTAAAGGAAGGTTCAACTCTGTTAGTTGAATACAAACAACACAAACAAGTTACTGAGAATTCTTCTATCTAGCATTATATGAAGAAATCCCGTTTCCAACGAAGGCCTCAAAGAGGTCCAAATATCCTACTGCAGACTTTACAAAGAGAGTGTTTCCAAACTGCTCAATTAAAAGAAAGGTTAAACTCTGTGAGTGGAACGCACACATCACAAAGTAGTTTCTGAGAATGATTTTGTCTAGTTTTAATACGAAGATATTTCCTTTCCTACCATTGTCCTCGAAGAGCTTGAAATCTGCACTAGCAAATTACACAAAAATAGTGTTTTACATGTGCTCTCTCTAAAGGAAGGTTCAAATCTCTGAGTTGAATGCACACAACACAAAGAAGTGACTGGGAATTCTTCTGTCTAGCATTATAGGAGGAAATCCCGTTTCCAACGAAGGCCTCAAAGAGGTCCTAATATCCACTTGCAGACTTTACAAAGACAGCGTTTCCAAACTGCTCTATGAAAAGAAACGTTAAACTCTGTGAGTTGAACGCACACATCACAAACTAGTTTCTGCGAATGATTCTGTGTAGTTTTAATTCGAAGATATTTCCATTTCTAAGATTGGCCTCAAATCCCTTGAAATCTCCACTTGCAAATTCCACAAAAAGAGTGTTTCAAAACTGCTCTGAATAAAGGAAGATTCAACTCTGTGAGTTGAATGCACACAACAGAAAGTAGTAACTGAGAATTCTTCTGTCGGGCAGTATATGAAGAAATCCCGTTTGCAACGAAGGCCTCACAGAAATCTAAATATCCACTTGCAGACCTTACAGACAGAGTGTTTCCAAACTTCTCTATGAAAAGAAAGGTTAATCTCCGTGAGTTGCACGCACACATCACAAAGTAGATTCTGAGAATGATTCTGTCTAGTTTTTATACGAAGATATTTCCTTTTCTACCATTGGCCTCAAATCGCTTGAAATCTTTACTTGCAAAAGCCACGAAAAGAACGTTTCAAATCTGCTCTGTCTAAAGAAAGGTTCAAATCTGTGAGTTGAATACACACAACACAAAGTAGTTACTGAAAATTCTTCGGGCTAGCAGTATATGGAGAAATCCCGTTTCCAAAGAAGGCCTGAAAGAGGTCCAAATATCCGCTTGCAGACTTTACAAAAAGAGTGTTTCCAAACTGCTCTATGAAAAGAAAGTTTAAAATCTGTGAGTTCAACGCACAAATCACAGAGCAGTTTCTGAGAATTGTTCTGTCCAGTTTTTATACGAAGATATTTCCTTTTCTACAATTGGCCTCAAATCGCTTGAAATCTCCACTTGCAAAAGCAACGAAAGGAGAGTTTCAACTCTGCTCAGTCTAAAGAAAGGTTCAACTCTGTGAATTGAATACACACAACCCAAAGATGTTACTGAGAATTCTTCGGTCTAGCAGTATATGAAGAAATCCCGTTTCCAACGAAGGCCTCAAAGATGTCCAAATATCCACTTACAGACTTTACAGACAGAGTCTATCCAAACTGCTGTATGCAAACAAAGGTTAATCTCTGTGAGTTGCACGCACACATCACAGAGTAGTTTCTGAGAATTGTTCTGTTTAGTTATTATACGAAGATATTTTCTTTTCTACCATTGGCCTCCAATGACTTGAAATCTCCTCTGGCAAAACCCACGAAAAGAGAGTATCAAATCTGCTCTGTCTAAAGAAAAGTTCAACTCTGTGAGTTGAATACACACAGCACAAAGAAGTTACTGAGTATTCTTCTGTCTAGCATTATATGAAGAAGTCCCGTTTCCAACGAAGGGCTCAAAGAGCTCCAAATATCCACTTGGAGACTTTACAAAGAGAGCGTTTCCAAACTGCTCTATGAAAAGAAACGTTAAACTCTGTGAGTTGAACGCACACATCACAAGCTAGTTTCTGCGAACGATTCTGTGTAGTATTAATTCGAAGATATTTCCATTTCTAAGATTGCCCTCAAATCGCTTGAAATCTCCACTTGCAAATTCCACAAAAAGAGTGTTTCAAAACTGCTCCGAATAAAGGAAGGTTAAACTCTGTGAGTTGAATACACACAACACAAAGAAGTTACTGAGAATTCTTCTGTCTAGCAGTATATGAAGAAATCCCGTTTCCAACGAAGGCCTCAAAAAGGTCCAAATATCTGCTTGCAGACTTTACAAAGAGAGTGCTTCTAACCTGCTCTATGAAAAGAAAGGTTAAACTCTGTGAGTTGAACGCACACATCACAAAGAAGCTTCTGAGAATGATTCTCTCTAGTTTTTATACGAAGATATTTCCTTTTCTACCATTGGCCTCAAATCGTTTGAAACCTCCACATGCAAAAGCCACGAAAAGAGCGTTTCAAATCTGCTCTGTCTAAAGAAAGGTTCAAATCTGTGAGTTGAATACACACAACACAAAGTAGTTACTGAAAATGCTTCGGTCTAGCAGTATATGGAGAAATCCCGTTTCCAACGAAGGGCTCAAAGAAGTCCAAATATCCACTTGCAGACTTTACAAAAATAGTGTTTCCAAACTGCTCAATTAAAAGAAAGGTTAAACTCTGTGAGTGGAACGCACACATCACAAAGTAGTTTCTGAGAATGAGTTTGTCTCGTTTTCATACGAAGAATATTTCCTTTTCTACCATTGTCCTTGAAGAGCTTGAAATCTGTACTAGCAAATTACACAAATAGAGTGTTTCAAATGTGCTCTCTCTAAAGGAAGGTTCAAATCTCTGAGTTGAATGCACACAACACAAAGAAGTGACTGAGAATACTTCTGTCTAGCATTATAGGAAGAAATCCCGTTTCCAACGAAGGCCTCAAAGAAGTCCAAATATCCTCTTGCAGACTTTACAAATAGAGTGTTTCCAAACTGCTCTATGAAAAGAAAGGTTAAACTCTGTGAGTTGAACGCACACATCACAAGGTAGTATCTCAGAATGACACTGTCTAGTTTTTATACAAAGATATTTCCATTTCTAAGACTGGCCTCAAATCCCTAGAAATCTCCATTGGAAATTGCACAAACAGAGTGTTTGAAAACTGCTCTTTCTAAAGGAAGGTTCAACTCTGTTAGTTGAATACACACAACACAAACAAGTTACTGAGAATTCTTCTATCTAGCATTATATGAAGAAATCCCGTTTCCAACGAAGGCCTCAAAGAGGTCCAAATATCCTACTGCAGGCTTTACAAAGAGAGTGTTTGCAAACTGCTCAATTAAAAGAAAGGTTAAACTCTGTGAGTGGAACGCACACATCACAAAGTAGTTTCTGAGAATGATTTTGTCTAGTTTTAATACGAAGATATTTCCTTTCCTACCATTGTCCTCGAAGAGCTTGAAATCTGCACTAGCAAATTACACAAAAAGAGTGTTTTAAATGTGCTCTCTCTAAAGGAAGGTTCAAATCTCTGAGTTGAATGCACACAACACAAAGAAGTGACTGGGAATTCTTCTGTCTAGCATTATAGGAGGAAATCCCGTTTCCAACGAAGGCCTGAAAGAGGTCCTAATATCCACTTGCCGACTTTACAAAGACAGCGTTTCCAAACTGCTCTATGAAAAGAAACGTTAAACTCTGTGAGTTGAACGCACACATCACAAACTAGTTTCTGCGAATGATTCTGTGTAGTTTTAATTCGAAGATATTTCCATTTCTAAGATTGGCCTCAAATCCCTTGAAATCTCCACTTGCAAATTCCACAAAAAGAGTGTTTCAAAACTGCTCTGAATAAAGGAAGGTTCAACTCTGTGAGTTGAATGCACACAGCAGAAAGTAGTAACTGAGAATTCTTCTGTATGTGAGTATATGAAGAAATCCCGTTTGCAACGAAGGCCTCACAGAAATCTAAATATCCACTTGCAGACCTTACAGACAGAGTGTTTCCAAACTTCTCTATGAAAAGAAAGGTTAATCTCCGTGAGTTGCACGCACACATCACAAAGTAGATTCTGAGAATGATTCTGTCTAGTTTTTATACGAAGATATTTCCTTTTCTACCATTGGCCTCAAATCGCTTGAAATCTTTACTTGCAAAAGCCACGAAAAGAGCGTTTCAAATCTGCTCTGTCTAAAGAAAGGTTCAAATCTGTGAGTTGAATACACACAACACAAAGTAGTTACTGAAAATTCTTCGGGCTAGCAGTATATGGAGAAATCCCGTTTCCAAAGAAGGCCTGAAAGAGGTCCAAATATCCGCTTGCAGACTTTACAAAAAGAGTGTTTCCAAACTGCTCAATTAAAAGAAAGTTTAAAATCTGTGAGTTGAACGCACAAATCACAGAGCAGTTTCTGAGAATTGTTCTGTCTAGTTTTTATACGAAGATATTTCCTTTTCTACAATTGGCCTCAAATCGCTTGAAATCTCCACTTGCAAAAGCAACGAAAGGAGAGTTTCAAATCTGCTCGGTCTAAAGAAAGGTTCAACTCTGTGAATTGAATACACACAACCCAAAGAAGTTACTGAGAATTCTTCGGTCTAGCAGTATATGAAGAAATCCCGTTTCCAACGAAGGCCTCAAAAAGGTCCAAATATCTGCTTGCAGACTTTACAAAGAGAGTGCTTCCAACCTGCTCTATGAAAAGAAAGGTTAAACTCTGTGAGTTGAACGCACACATCACAAAGAAGTTTCTGAGAATGATTCTGTTTAGTTATTATACGAAGATATTTTCTTTCCTACCATTGGCCTCCAATGACTTGAAATCTCCTCTGGCAAAAGCCACGAAAAGAGAGTATCAAATCTGCTCTGTCTAAAGAAAAGTTCAACTCTGTGAGTTGAATACACACAGCACAAAGAAGTTACTGAGTATTCTTCTGTCTAGCATTATATGAAGAAGTCCCGTTTCCAACGAAGGGCTCAAACAGCTCCAAATATCCACTTGGAGACTTTACAAAGAGAGCGTTTCCAAACTGCTCTATGAAAAGAAACGTTAAACTCTGTGAGTTGAACACACACATCACAAACTAGTTTCTGCGAACGATTCTGTGTAGTTTTAATTCGAAGATATTTCCATTTCTAAGATTGGCCTCAAATCCCTTGAAATCTCCACTGGCAAATTCCACAAAAAGAGTGTTTCAAAACTGCTCTGAATAAAGGAAGGTTCAACTCCGTGAGTTGAATGCACACAACACAAAGAGTTACTGAGAATTCTTCTGTCTGTGAGTATATGAAGAAATCCCGTTTGCAACGAAGGCCTCACAGAAATCTAAATATCCACTTGCAGACCTTACAGACAGAGTCTTTCCAAACTGCTCTATGAAAGGAAAGGTTAATCTCCGTGAGTTGCACGCACACATCAGAAAGTAATTTCTGAGAATGATTCTCTCTAGTTTTTCTACGAAGATATTTCCTTTTCTACCATTGGCCTCAAATCGTTTGAAACCTCCACATGCAAAAGCCACGAAAAGAGCGTTTCAAATCTGCTCTGTCTAAAGAAAGGTTCAAATCTGTGAGTTGAATACACACAACACAAAGTAGTTACTGAAAATGCTTCAGTCTAGCAGTATATGGAGAAATCCCGTTTCCAACGAAGGGCTCAAAGAAGTCCAAATATCCACTTGCAGACTTTACAAAAATAGTGTTTCCAAACTGCTCAATTAAAAGAAAGGTTAAACTCTGTGAGTGGAACGCACACATCACAAAGTAGTTTCTGAGAATGATTTTGTCTAGTTTTCATACGACGATATTTCCTTTTCTACCATTGTCCTCGAAGAGCTTGAAATCTGCACTAGCAAATTACACAAAAAGAGTGTTTCAAATGTGCTCTCTCTAAAGGAAGGTTCAAATCTCTGAGTTGAATGCACACAACACAAAGAAGTGACTGAGAATACTTCTGTCTAGCATTATAGGAAGAAATCCCGTTTCCAACGAAGGCCTCAAAGAGGTCCAAATATCCACTTGCAGACTTTACAAATAGAGTGTTTCCAAACTGCTCTATGAAAAGAAAGGTTAAACTCTGTGAGTTGAACGCACACATCACAAGGTAGTATCTCAGAATGACACTGTCTAGTTTTTATACAAAGATATTTCCATTTCTAAGACTGGCCTCAAATCCCTAGAAATCTCCATTGGAAATTGCACAAACAGAGTGTTTGAAAACTGCTCTTTCTAAAAGAAGGTTCAACTCTGTTAGTTGAATACACACAACACAAACAAGTTACTGAGAATTCTTCTATCTAGCATTATATGAAGAAATCCCGTTTCCAATGAAGGCCTCAAAGAGGTCCAAATATCCTACTGCAGACTTTACAAAGAGAGTGTTTCCAAACTGCTCAATTAAAAGAAAGGTTAAACTCTGTGAGTGGAACGCACACATCACAAAGTAGTTTCTGAGAATGATTTTGTCTAGTTTTAATACGAAGATATTTCCTTTCCTACCATTGTCCTCGAAGAGCTTGAAATCTGCACTAGCAAATTACACAAAAAGAGTGTTTCAAATGTGCTCTCTCTAAAGGAAGGTTCAAATCTCTGAGTTGAATGCACACAACACAAAGAAGTGACTGGGAATTCTTCTGTCTAGCATTATAGGAGGAAATCCCGTTTCCAACGAAGGCCTCAAAGAGGTCCTAATATCCACTTGCAGACTTTACAAAGACAGCGTTTCCAAACTGCTCTATGAAAAGAAAGGTTAAACTCTGTGAGTTGAACGCACACATCACAAACTAGTTTCTGCGAATGATTCTGTGTAGTTTTAATTCGAAGATATTTCCATTTCTAAGATTGGCCTCAAATCCCTTGAAATCTCCACTTGCAAATTCCACAAAAAGAGTGTTTCAAAACTGCTCTGAATAAAGGAAGGTTCAACTCTGTGAGTTGAATGCACACAACAGAAAGTAGTAACTGAGAATTCTTCTGTCGGGCAGTATATGAAGAAACCCCGTTTGCAACGAAGGCCTCACAGAAATCTAAATATCCACTTGCAGACCTTACAGACAGACTCTTTCCAAACTTCTCTATGAAAAGAAAGGTTAATCTCCGTGAGTTGCACGCACACATCACAAAGTAGATTCTGAGAACGATTCTCTCTAGTTTTTACACGAAGATATTTCCTTTTCTACTATTGGCCTCAAATCGCTTGAAATCTTTACTTGCAAAAGCCACGAAAAGAGCGTTTCAAATCTGCTCTGTCTAAGGAAAGGTTCAAATCTGTGAGTTAAATACACACAACACAAAGTAGTTACTGAAAATGCTTCGGGCTAGCAGTATATGGAGAAATCCCGTTTCCAAAGAAGGCCTCAAAGGGGTCCAAATATCCACTTGCAGACTTTACAAATAGAGTGTTTCCAAACTGCTCTATGAAAAGAAAGGTTAAACTCTGTGAGTTGAACGCACACATCACAAGGTAGTATCTCAGAATGACACTGTCTAGTTTTTATACAAAGATATTTCCATTTCTAAGACTGGCCTCAAATCCCTAGAAATCTCCATTGGAAATTGCACAAACAGAGTGTTTGAAAACTGCTCTTTCTAAAGGAAGGTTCAACTCTGTTAGTTGAATACACACCACACAAACAAGTTACTGAGAATTCTTCTATCTAGCATTATATGAAGAAATCCCGTTTCCAACGAAGGCCTCAAAGAGGTCCAAATATCCTACTGCAGGCTTTACAAAGAGAGTGTTTCCAAACTGCTCAATTAAAAGAAAGGTTAAACTCTGTGAGTGGAACGCACACATCACAAAGTAGTTTCTGAGAATGATTTTGTCTAGTTTTAATACGAAGATATTTCCTTTCCTACCATTGTCCTCGAAGAGCTTGAAATCTGAACTAGCAAATTACACAAAAAGAGTGTTTTACATGTGCTCTCTCTAAAGGAAGGTTCAAATCTCTGAGTTGAATGCACACAACACAAAGAAGTGACTGGGAATTCTTCTGTCTAGCATTATAGGAGGAAATCCCGTTTCCAACGAAGGCCTCAAAGAGGTCCTAATATCCACTTGCAGACTTTACAAAGACAGCGTTTCCAAACTGCTCTATGAAAAGAAACGTTAAACTCTGTGAGTTCAACGCACACATCACAAACTAGTTTCTGCGAATGATTCTGTGTAGTTTTAATTCGAAGATATTTCCATTTCTAAGATTGGCCTCAAATCCCTTGAAATCTCCACTTGCAAATTCCACAAAAAGAGTGTTTCAAAACTGCTCTGAATATAGGAAGGTTCAACTGTGTGAGTTGAATGCACACAACAGAAAGTAGTAACAGAATTCTTCTGTCGGGCAGTATATGAAGAAATCCCGTTTGCAACGAAGGCCTCACAGAAATCTAAATATCCACTTGCAGACCTTACAGACAGAGTGTTTCCAAACTTCTCTATGAAAAGAAAGGTTAATCTCCGTGAGTTGCACGCACACATCACAAAGTAGATTCTGAGAATGATTCTGTCTAGTTTTTATACGAAGATATTTCCTTTTCTACCATTGGCCTCAAATCGCTTGAAACCTTACTTGCAAAAGCCACGAAAAGAGCGTTTCAAATCTGCTCTGTCTAAAGAAAGGTTCAAATCTGTGAGTTGAATACACACAACACAAAGTAGTTACTGAAAATGCTTCGGGCTAGCAGTATATGGAGAAATCCCGTTTCCAAAGAAGGCCTGAAAGAGGTCCAAATATCCGCTTGCAGACTTTACAAAAAGAGTGTTTCCAAACTGCTCTATGAAAAGAAAGTTTAAAATCTGTGAGTTGAACGCACAAATCACAGAGCAGTTTCTGAGAATTGTTCTGTCTAGTTTTTATACGAAGATATTTCCTTTTCTACAATTGGCCTCAAATCGCTTGAAATCTCCACTTGCAAAAGCAACGAAAGGAGAGTTTCAAATCTGCTCGGTCTAAAGAAAGGTTCAACTCTGTGAATTCAATACACACAACCCAAAGAAGTTACTGAGAATTCTTCGGTCTAGCAGTATATGAAGAAATCCCGTTTCCAACGAAGGCCTCAAAAAGGTCCAAATATCTGCTTGCAGACTTTACAAAGAGAGTGCTTCCAACCTGCTCTATGAAAAGAAAGGTTAAACTCTGTGAGTTGAACGCACACATCACAAAGAAGTTTCTGAGAATGATTCTGTTTAGTTATTATACGAAGATATTTTCTTTTCTACCATTGGCCTCCAATGCCTTGAAATCTCCTCTGGCAAAACCCACGAAAAGAGAGTATCAAATCTGCTCTGTCTAAAGAAAAGTTCAACTCTGTGAGTTGAATACACACAGCACAAAGAAGTTACTGAGTATTCTTCTGTCTAGCATTATATGAAGAAGTCCCGTTTCCAACGAAGGGCTCAAAGAGCTCCAAATATCCACTTGGAGACTTTACAAAGAGAGCGTTTCCAAACTGCTCTATGAAAAGAAACGTTAAACTCTGTGAGTTGAACGCACACATCACAAACTAGTTTCTGCGAACGATTCTGTGTAGTTTTAATTCGAAGATATTTCCATTTCTAAGATTGGCCTCAAATCCCTTGAAATCTCCACTTGCAAATTCCACAAAAAGAGTGTTTCAAAACTGCTCTGAATAAAGGAAGGTTCAACTCCGTGAGTTGAATGCACACAACACAAAGAGTTACTGAGAATTCTTCTGTCTGTGAGTATATGAAGAAATCCCGTTTGCAACGAAGGCCTCACAGAAATCTATATATCCACTTGCAGACCTTACAGACAGAGTCTTTCCAAACTGCTCTATGAAAAGAAAGGTTAATCTCCGTGAGTTGCACGCACACATCAGAAAGTAATTTCTGAGAATGATTCTCTCTAGTTTTTATACGAAGATATTTCCTTTTCTACCATTGGCCTCAAATCGTTTGAAACCTCCACATGCAAAAGCCACGAAAAGAGCGTTTCAAATCTGCTCTGTCTAAAGAAAGGTTCAAATCTGTGAGTTGAATACACACAACACAAAGTAGTTACTGAAAATGCTTCGGTCTAGCAGTATATGGAGAAATCCCGTTTCCAACGAAGGGCTCAAAGAAGTCCAAATATCCACTTGCAGACTTTACAAAAATAGTGTTTCCAAACTGCTCAATTAAAAGAAAGGTTAAACTCTGTGAGTGGAATGCACACATCACAAAGTAGTTTCTGAGAATGAGTTTGTCTAGTTTTCATACGAAGATATTTCCTTTTCTACCATTGTCCTCGAAGAGCTTGAAATCTGCACTAGCAAATTACACAAAAAGAGTGTTTCAAATGTGCTCTCTCTAAAGGAAGGTTCAAATCTCTGAGTTGAATGCACACAACACAAAGAAGTGACTGAGAATACTGCTGTCTAGCATTACAGGAAGAAATCCCGTTTCCAAAGAAGGCCTCAAAGAGGTCCAAATATCCACTTGCAGACTTTACAAATAGAGTGTTTCCAAACAGCTCTATGAAAAGAAAGGTTAAACTCTGTGAGTTGAACACACACATCACAAGGTAGTATCTCAGAATGACACTGTCTAGTTTTTATACAAAGATATTTCCATTTCTAAGACTGGCCTCAAATCCCTAGAAATCTCCATTGGAAATTGCACAAACAGAGTGTTTGAAAACTGCTCTTTCTAAAGGAAGGTTCAACTCTGTTAGTTGAATACACACAACACAAACAAGTTACTGAGAATTCTTCTATCTAGCATTATATGAAGAAATCCCATTTCCAACGAAGGCCTCAAAGAGGTCCAAATATCCTACTGCAGACTTTACAAAGAGAGTGTTTCCAAACTGCTCAATTAAAAGAAAGGTTAAAGTCTGTGAGTGGAACGCACACATCACAAAGTAGTTTCTGAGAATGATTTTGTCTAGTTTTAATACAAAGATATTTCCTTTCCTACCATTGTCCTCGAAGAGCTTGAAATCTGCACTAGCAAATTACACAAAAAGAGTGTTTCAAATGTGCTCTCTCTAAAGGAAGGTTCAAATCTCTGAGTTGAATGCACACAACACAAAGAAGTGACTGGGAATTCTTCTGTCTAGCATTATAGGAGGAAATCCCGTTTCCAACGAAGGCCTCAAAGAGGTCCTAATATCCACTTGCAGACTTTACAAAGACAGCGTTTCCAAACTGCTCTATGAAAAGAAACGTTAAACTCTGTGAGTTGAACGCACACATCACAAACTAGTTTCTGCGAATGATTCTGTGTAGTTTTAATTCGAAGATATTTCCATTTCTAAGATTGGCCTCAAATCCCTTGAAATCTTCACTTGCAAATTCCACAAAAAGAGTGTTTCAAAACTGCTCTGAATATAGGAAGGTTCAACTCTGTGAGTTGAATGCACACAACAGAAAGTAGTAACAGAATTCTTCTGTCGGGCAGTATATGAAGAAATCCCGTTTGCAACGAAGGCCTCACAGAAATCTAAATATCCACTTGCAGACCTTACAGACAGACTCTTTCCAAACTTCTCTATGAAAAGAAAGGTTAATCTCCGTGAGTTGCACGCACACATCACAAAGTAGATTCTGAGAACGATTCTGTCTAGTTTTTATACGAAGATATTTCCTTTTCTACCATTGGCCTCAAATCGCTTGAAATCTTTACTTGCAAAAGCCACGAAAAGAGCGTTTCAAATCTGCTCTGTCTAAAGAAAGGTTCAAATCTGTGAGTTGAATACACACAACACAAAGTAGTTACTGAAAATTCTTCGGGCTAGCAGTATATGGAGAAATCCCGTTTCCAAAGAAGGCCTGAAAGAGGTCCAAATATCCGCTTGCAGACTTTACAAAAAGAGTGTTTCCAAACTGCTCTATGAAAAGAAAGTTTAAAATCTGTGAGTTGAACGCAAAAATCACAGAGCAGTTTCTGAGAATTGTTCTGTCTAGTTTTTATACGAAGATATTTCCTTTTTTACAATTGGCCTCAAATCGCTTGAAATCTCCACTTGCAAAAGCAACGAAAGGAGAGTTTCAAATCTGCTCGGTCTAAAGAAAGGTTCAACGCTGTGAATTGCATACACACAACCAAAAGAAGTTACTGAGAATTCTTTGGTCTAGCAGTATATGAAGAAATCCCGTTTCCAACGAAGGCCTCAAAAAGGTCCAAATATCTGCATGCAGACTTTACAAAGAGAGTGCTTCCAACCTGCTCTATGAAAAGAAAGGTTAAACTCTGTGAGTTGAACGCACACATCACAAAGAAGTTTCTGAGAATGATTCTGTTTAGTTATTATACGAAGATATTTTCTTTTCTACTATTGGCCTCCAATGAGTTGAAATCTCCTCTGGCAAAAGCCACGAAAAGAGAGTATCAAATCTGCTCTGTCTAAAGAAAAGTTCAACTCTGTGAGTTGAATACACACAGCACAAAGAAGTTACTGAGTATTCTTCTGTCTAGCATTATATGAAGAAGTCCCGTTTCCAACGAAGGGCTCAAAGAGCTCCAAATATCCACTTGGAGACTTTACAAAGAGAGCGTTTCCAAACTGCTCTATGAAAAGAAACGTTAAACTCTGTGAGTTGAACGCACACATCACAAACTAGTTTCTGCGAACGATTCTGTGTAGTTTTAATTCGAAGATATTTCCATTTCTAAGATTGGCCTCAAATCCCTTGAAATCTCCACTTGCAAATTCCACAAAAAGAGTGTTTCAAAACTGCTCCGAATAAAGGAAGGTTCAACTCCGTGAGTTGAATGCACACAACACAAATAGTTACTGAGAATTCTTCTGTCTGTGAGTATATGAAGAAATCCCGTTTGCAACGAAGGCCTCACAGAAATCTAAATATCCACTTGCAGACCTTACAGACAGAGTCTTTCCAAACTGCTCTATGAAAAGAAAGGTTAATCTCCGTGAGTTGCACGCACACATCACAAAGTAATTTCTGAGAATGATTCTCTCTAGTTTTTATACGAAGATATTTCCTTTTCTACCATTGGCCTCAAATCGTTTGAAACCTCCACATGCAAAAGCCACGAAAAGAGCGTTTCAAATCTGCTCTGTCTAAAGAAAGGTTCAAATCTGTGAGTTGAATACACACAACACAAAGTAGTTACTGAAAATGCTTCGGTCTAGCAGTATATGGAGAAATCCCGTTTCCAACGAAGGGCTCAAAGAAGTCCAAATATCCACTTGCAGACTTTACAAAAATAGTGTTTCCAAACTGCTCAATTAAAAGAAAGGTTAAACACTGTGAGTGGAACGCACACATCACAAAGTAGTTTCTGAGAATGAGTTTGTCTAGTTTTCATACGAAGATATTTCCTTTTCTACCATTGTCCTCGAAGAGCTTGAAATCTGCACTAGCAAATTACACAAAAAGAGTGTTTGAAATGTGCTCTCTCTAAAGGAAGGTTCAAATCTCTGAGTTGAATGCACACAACACAAAGAAGTGACTGAGAATACTTCTATCTAACATTATATGAAGAAATCCCGTTTTAAACGAAGGCCTCAAAGAGGTCCAAATATCCACTTGCAGATTTCACAAACACAGTGTTTCCAAACTGCTCTATGAAAAGAAAGGTTAATCTCTGTGAGTTGAACGCACACATCACAAGGTAGTTTCTCAGAATGACACTGTCTAGTTTTTATACAAAGATATTTCCATTTCTAAGACTGGCCTCAAATCCCTAGAAATCTCCATTGGAAATTGCACAAACAGAGTGTTTGAAAACTGCTCTTTCTAAAGGAAGGTTCAACTCTGTTAGGTGAATACACACAACACAAACAAGTTACTGAGAATTCTTCTGTCTAGCATTATGTGAGGAAATCTCGTTTCCAAAGAAGGGCTCAAAGAGGGCCAATTAACCACTTGCAGACATTACAAAGAGAGTGTTTCCAAACTGCTCGATTAAAAGAAAGGTTAAACTCTGTGAGTTGAAAGCACACATTACAAAGTGTTTTCTGAGAATGATTTTGTCTAGTTTTCATACGAAGATATTTCCTTTCCTACCATTGTCCTCGAAGAGCTTGAAATCTGCAATAGAAAATTACACAAAAAGAGTGTTTCAAATGTGCTCTCTCTAAAGAAAGGTTCAAATCTCTGAGTTGAATGCACACAACACAAAGAAGTGACTGGGAATTCTTCTGTCTAGCATTATAGGAGGAAATCCCGTTTCCAACGAAGGCCTCAAAGAGGTCCTAATATCCACTTGCAGACTTTACAAAGACAGCGTTTCCAAACTGCTCTATGAAAAGAAACGTTAAACTGTGTGAGTTGAACGCACACATCACAAACTAGTTTCTGCGAATGATTCTGTGTAGTTTTAATTCGAAGATATTTCCATTTCTAAGATTGGCCTCAAATCCCTTGAAATCTTCACTTGCAAATTCCACAAAAAGAGTGTTTCAAAACTGCTCTGAATATAGGAAGGTTCAACTGTGTGAGTTGAATGCACACAACAGAAAGTAGTAACAGAATTCTTCTGTCGGGCAGTATATGAAGAAATCCCGTTTGCAACGAAGGCCTCACAGAAATCTAAATATCCACTTGCAGACCTTACAGACAGAGTGTTTCCAAACTTCTCTATGAAAAGAAAGGTTAATCTCCGTGAGTTGCACGCACACATCACAAAGTAGATTCTGAGAATGATTCTGTCTAGTTTTTATACGAAGATATTTCCTTTTCTACCATTGTCCTCAAATCGCTTGAAATCTTTACTTGCAAAAGCCACGAAAAGAGCGTTTCAAATCTGCTCTGTCTAAAGAAAGGTTCAAATCTGTGAGTTGAATACACACAACACAAAGTAGTTACTGAAAATTCTTCGGGCTAGCAGTATATGGAGAAATCCCGTTTCCAAAGAAGGCCTGAAAGAAGTCCAAATATCCGCTTGCAGACTTTACAAAAAGAGTGTTTCCAAACTGCTCTATGAAAAGAAAGTTTAAAATCTGTGAGTTGAACGCACAAATCACAGAGCAGTTTCTGAGAATTGTTCTGTCTAGTTTTTATACGAAGATATTTCCTTTTCTACAATTGGCCTCAAATCGCTTGAAATCTCCACTTGCAAAAGCAACGAAAGGAGAGTTTCAAATCTGCTCGGTCTAAAGAAAGGTTCAACTCTGTGAATTGAATGCACACAACCCAAAGAAGTTACTGAGAATTCTTCGGTCTAGCAGTATATGAAGAAATCCCGTTTCCAACGAAGGCCTCAAAAAGGTCCAAATATCTGCTTGCAGACTTTACAAAGAGAGTGCTTCCAACCTGCTCTATGAAAAGAAAGGTTAAACTCTGTGAGTTGAACGCACACATCACAAAGAAGTTTCTGAGAATGATTCTGTTTAGTTATTATACGAAGATATTTTCTTTTCTACCATTGGCCTCCAATGACTTGAAATCTCCTCTGGCAAAAGCCACGAAAAGAGAGTATCAAATCTGCTCTGTCTAAAGAAAAGTTCAACTCTGTGAGTTGAATACACACAGCACAAAGAAGTTACTGAGTATTCTTCTGTCTAGCATTATATGAAGAAGACCCGTTTCCAACGAAGGGCTCAAACAGCTCCAAATATCCACTTGGAGACTTTACAAAGAGAGCGTTTCCAAACTGCTCTATGAAAAGAAACGTTAAACTCTGTGAGTTGAACGCACACATCACAAACTAGTTTCTGCGAACGATTCTGTGTAGTTTTAATTCGAAGATGTTTCCATTTCTAAGATTGGCCTCAAATCCCTTGAAATCTCCACTTGCAAATTCCACAAAAAGAGTGTTTCAAAACTGCTCTGAATAAAGGAAGGTTCAACTCCGTGAGTTGAATGCACACAACACAAAGAGTTACTGAGAATTCTTCTGTCTGTGAGTATATGAAGAAATCCCGTTTGCAACGAAAGCCTCACAGAAATCTAAATATCCACTTGCAGACCTTACAGACAGAGTCTTTCCAAACTGCTCTATGAAAAGAAAGGTTAATCTCCGTGAGTTGCACGCACACATCAGAAAGTAATTTCTGAGAATGATTCTGTCTAGTTTTTATACGAAGATATTTCCTTTTCTACCATTGGCCTCAAATCGTTTGAAACCTCCACATGCAAAAGCCACGAGAAGAGCGTTTCAAATCTGCTCTGTCTAAAGAAAGGTTCAAATCTGTGAGTTGAATACACACAACACAAAGTAGTTACTGAAAATTCTTCGGGCTAGCAGTATATGGAGAAATCCCGTTTCCAAAGAAGGCCTGAAAGAGGTCCAAATATCCGCTTGCAGACTTTACAAAAAGAGTGTTTCCAAACTGCTCTATGAAAAGAAAGTTTAAAATCTGTGAGTTGAACGCTCAAATCACAGAGCAGTTTCCGAGAATTGTTCTGTCTAGTTTTTATACGAAGATATTTCCTTTTCTACAATTGGCCTCAAATCGCTTGAAATCTCCACTTGCAAAAGCAACGAAAGGAGAGTTTCAAATCTGCTCGGTCTAAAGAAAGGTTCAACTCTGTGAATTGAATATACACAACCCAAAGAAGTTACTGAGAATTCTTCGGTCTAGCAGTATATGAAGAAATCCCGTTTCTAACGAAGGCCTCAAAAAGGTCCAAATATCTGCTTGCAGACTTTACAAAGAGAGTGCTTCCAACCTGCTCTATGAAAAGAAAGGTTAAACTCTGTGAGTTGAACGCACACATCACAAAGAAGTTTCTGAGAATGATTCTGTTTAGTTATTATACGAAGATATTTTCTTTTCTACCATTGGCCTCCAATGACTTGAAATCTCCTCTGGCAAAAGCCACGAAAAGAGAGTATCAAATCTGCTCTGTCTAAAGAAAAGTTCAACTCTGTGAGTTGAATACACACAGCACAAAGAAGTTACTGAGTATTCTTCTGTCTAGCATTATATGAAGAAGTCCCGTTTCCAACGAAGGGCTTAAACAGCTCCAAATATCCACTTGGAGACTTTACAAAGAGAGCGTTTCCAAACTGCTCTATGAAAAGAAACGTTAAACTCTGTGAGTTGAACGCACACATCACAAACTAGTTTCTGCGAACGATTCTGTGTAGTTTTAATTCGAAGATATTTCCATTTCTAAGATTGGCCTCAAATCCCTTGAAATCTCCACTTGCAAATTCCACAAAAAGAGTGTTTCAAAACTGCTCTGAATAAAGGAAGGTTCAACTCTGTGTGTTGAATTTACACAACACAAACTAGTTACTGAGAATTGTTCTGTCTGTGAGTATATGAAGAAATCCCGTTTGCAACGAAGGCCTCACAGAAATCTAAATATCGACTTGCAGACCTTACAGACAGAGTCTTTCCAAACTGCTCTATGAAAAGAAAGGTTAATCTCCGTGAGTTGCACGCACACATCAGAAAGTAATTTCTGAGAATGATTCTCTCTAGTTTTTATACGAAGATATTTCCTTTTCTACCATTGGCCTCAAATCGTTTGAAACCTCCACATGCAAAAGCCACGAGAAGAGCGTTTCAAATCTGCTCTGTCTAAAGAAAGGTTCAAATCTGTGAGTTGAATACACACAACACAAAGTAGTTACTGAAAATGCTTCGGTCTAGCAGTATATGGAGAAATCCCGTTTCCAACGAAGGGCTCAAAAAGTTCAAATATCCACTTGCAGACTTTACAAAAATAGTGTTTCCAAACTGCTCAATTAAAAGAAAGTTTAAACTCTGTGAGTGGAACGCACACATCACAAAGTAGTTTCTGAGAATGAGTTTGTCTTGTTTTCAAACGAAGATATTTCCTTTTCTACCATTGTCCTCGAAGAGCTTGAAATCTGCACTAGCAAATTACACAAAAAGAGTGTTTCAAATGTGCTCTCTCTAAAGGAAGGTTCAAATCTCTGGGTTGAATGCACACAACACAAAGAAGTGACTGAGAATACTTCTGTCTAGCATTATAGGAAGAAATCCCGTTTCCAACGAAGGCCTCAAAGAGGTCCAAATATCCACTTGCAGACTTTACAAATAGAGTGTTTCCAAACTGCTCTATGAATAGAAAGGTTAAACTCTGTGAGTTGAACGCACACATCACAAGGTAGTATCTCAGAATGACACTGTCTAGTTTTTATACAAAGATATTTCCATTTCTAAGACTGGCCTCAAATCCCTAGAAATCTCCATTGGAAATTGCACAAACAGAGTGTTTGAAAACTGCTCTTTCTAAAGGAAGGTTCAACTCTGTTAGTTGAATACACACAACACAAACAAGTTACTGAGAATTCTTCTATCTAGCATTATATGAAGAAATCCCGTTTCCAACGAAGGCCTCAAAGAGGTCCAAATATCCTACTGCAGACTTTACAAAGAGAGTGTTTCCAAACTGCTCAATTAAAAGAAAGGTTAAACTCTGTGAGTGGAACGCACACATCACAAAGTAGTTTCTGAGAATGATTTTGTCTAGTTTTCATACGAAGATATTTCCTTTCCTACCATTGTCCTCGAAGAGCTTGAAATCTGCACTAGCAAATTACACAAAAAGAGTGTTTTAAATGTGCTCTCTCTAAAGGAAGGTTCAAATGTCTGAGTTGAATGCACACAACACAAAGAAGTGACTGGGAATTCTTCTGTCTAGCATTATAGGAGGAAATCCCGTTTCCAACGAAGGCCTCAAAGAGGTCCTAATATCCACTTGCAGACTTTACAAAGACAGCGTTTCCAAACTGCTCTATGAAAAGAAACGTTAAACTCTGAGTTGAACGCACACATCACAAACTAGTTTCTGCGAATGATTCTGTGTAGTTTTAATTCGAAGATATTTCCATTTCTAAGATTGGCCTCAAATCCCTTGAAATCTCCACTTGCAAATTCCACAAAAAGAGTGTTTCAAAACTGCTCTGAATAAAGGAAGGTTCAACTCTGTAAGTTGAATGCACACAACTGAAAGTAGTAACTGAGAATTCTTCTGTCGGGCAGTATATGAAGAAATCCCGTTTGCAACGAAGGCCTCACAGAAATCTAAATATCCACTTGCAGACCTTACAGACAGAGTGTTTCCAAACTTCTCTATGAAAAGAAAGGTTAATCTCCGTGAGTTGCACGCACACATCACAAAGTAGATTCTGAGAATGATTCTGTCTAGTTTTTATACGAAGATATTTCCTTTTCTACCATTGTCCTCAAATCGCTTGAAATCTTTACTTGCAAAAGCCACGAAAGGAGCGTTTCAAATCTGCTCTGTCTAAAGAAAGGTTCAAATCTGTGAGTTGAATACACACAACACAAAGTAGTTACTGAAAATGCTTCAGGCTAGCAGTATATGGAGAAATCCCGTTTCCAAAGAAGGCCTGAAAGAGGTCCAAATATCCGCTTGCAGACTTTACAAAAAGAGTGTTTCCAAACTGCTCTATGAAAAGAAAGTTTAAAATCTGTGAGTTGAACGCACAAATCACAGAGCAGTTTCTGAGAATTGTTCTGTCTAGTTTTTATACGAAGATATTTCCTTTTCTACAATTGGCCTCAAATCGCTTGAAATCTCCACTTGCAAAAGCAACGAAAGGAGAGTTTCAAATCTGCTCGGTCTAAAGAAAGGTTCAACTCTGTGAATTGAATACACACAACCCAAAGAAGTTACTGAGAATTCTTCGGTCTAGCAGTATATGAAGAAATCCCGTTTCCAACGAAGGCCTCAAAAAGGTCCAAATATCTGCTTGCAGACTTTACAAAGAGAGTGCTTCCAACCTGCTCTATGAAAAGAAAGGTTAAACTCTGTGAGTTGAACGCACACATCACAAAGAAGTTTCTGAGAATGATTCTGTTTAGTTATTATACGAAGATATTTTCTTTTCTACCATTGGCCTCCAAAGACTTGAAATCTCCTCTGGCAAAAGCCACGAAAAGAGAGTATCAAATCTGCTCTGTCTAAAGAAAAGTTCAACTCTGTGAGTTGAATACACACAGCACAAAGAAGTTACTGAGTATTCTTCTGTCTAGCATTATATGAAGAAGTCCCGTTTCCAACGAAGGGCTCAAACAGCTCCAAATATCCACTTGGAGACTTTACAAAGAGAGCGTTTCCAAACTGCTCTATGAAAAGAAACGTTAAACTCTGTGAGTTGAACGCACATATCACAAACTAGTTTCTGCGAACGATTCTGTGTAGTTTTAATTCGAAGATATTTCCATTTCTAAGATTGGCCTCAAATCCCTTGAAATCTCCACTTGCAAATTCCACAAAAAGAGTGTTTCAAAACTGCTCTGAATAAATGAAGGTTCAACTCCGTGAGTTGAATGCACACAACACAAAGAGTTACTGAGAATTCTTCTGTCTGTGAGTATATGAAGAAATCCCGTTTGCAACGAAGGCCTCACAGAAATCTAAATATCCACTTGCAGACCTTACAGACAGAGTCTTTCCAAACTGCTCTATGAAAAGAAAGGTTAATCTCCGTGAGTTGCACGCACACATCAGAAAGTAATTTCTGAGAATGATTCTCTCTAGTTTTTATACGAAGATATTTCCTTTTCTACCATTGGCCTCAAATCGTTTGAAACCTCCACATGCAAAAGCCACGAAAAGAGCGTTTCAAATCTGCTCTGTCTAAAGAAAGGTTCAAATCTGTGAGTTGAATACACACAACACAAAGTAGTTACTGAAAATGCTTCGGTCTAGCAGTATATGGAGAAATCCCGTTTCCAACGAAGGGCTCAAAGAAGTCCAAATATCCACTTGCAGACTTTACAAAAATAGTGTTTCCAAACTGCTCAATTAAAAGAAAGGTTAAACTCTGTGAGTGGAACGCACACATCAAAAAGTAGTTTCTGGGAATGATTTTGTCTAGTTTTAATACGAAGATATTTCCTTTCCTACCATTGTCCTCGAAGAGCTTGAAATCTGCACTAGCAAATTACACAAAAAGAGTGTTTCAAATGTGCTCTCTCTAAAGGAAGGTTCAAATCTCTGAGTTGAATGCACACAACACAAAGAAGTGACTGAGAATACTTCTGTCTAGCATTATAGGAAGAAATCCCGTTTCCAACGAAGGCCTCAAAGAGGTCCAAATATCCACTTGCAGACTTTACAAATAGAGTGTTTCCAAACTGCTCTATGAAAAGAAAGGTTAAACTCTGTGAGTTGAACGCACACATCACAAGGTAGTATCTCAGAATGACACTGTCTAGTTTTTATACAAAGATATTTCCATTTCTAAGACTGGCCTCAAATCCCTAGAAATCTCCATTGGAAATTGCACAAACAGAGTGTTTGAACACTGCTCTTTCTAAAGGAAGGTTCAACTCTGTTAGTTGAATACACACAACACAAACAAGTTACTGAGAATTCTTCTATCTAGCATTATATGAAGAAATCCCGTTTCCAATGAAGGCCTCAAAGAGGTCCAAATATCCTACTGCAGACTTTACAAAGAGAGTGTTTCCAAACTGCTCAATTAAAAGAAAGGTTAAAGTCTGTGAGTGGAACGCACACATCACAAAGTAGTTTCTGAGAATGATTTTGTCTAGTTTTCATACGAAGATATTTCCTTTCCTACCATTGTCCTCGAAGAGCTTGAAATCTGCACTAGCAAATTACACAAAAAGAGTGTTTTAAATGTGCTCTCTCTAAAGGAAGGTTCAAATCTCTGAGTTGAATGCACACAACACAAAGAAGTGACTGGGAATTCTTCTGTCTAGCATTATAGGAGGAAATCCCGTTTCCAACGAAGGCCTCAAAGAGGTCCTAATATCCACTTGCAGACTTTACAAAGACAGCGTTTCCAAACTGCTCTATGAAAAGAAACGTTAAACTCTGTGAGTTGAACACACACATCACAAACTAGTTTCTGCGAATGATTCTGTGTAGTTTTAATTCGAAGATATTTCCATTTCTAAGATTGGCCTCAAATCCCTTGAAATCTCCACTTGCAAATTCCACAAAAAGAGTGTTTCAAAACTGCTCTGAATAAAGGAAGGTTGAACTCTGTGAGTTGAATGCACACAACTGAAAGTAGTAACTGAGAATTCTTCTGTCGGGCAGTATATGAAGAAATCCCGTTTGCAACGAAGGCCTCACAGAAATCTAAATATCCACTTGCAGACCTTACAGACAGAGTGTTTCCAAACTTCTCTATGAAAAGAAAGGTTAATCTCCGTGAGTTGCACGCACACATCACAAAGTAGATTCTGAGAATGATTCTGTCTAGTTTTTATACGAAGATATTTCCTTTTCTACCATTGGCCTCAAATCGCTTGAAATCTTTACTTGCAAAAGCCACGAAAAGAGCGTTTCAAATCTGCTCTGTCTAAAGAAAGGTTCAAATCTGTGAGTTGAATACACACAACACAAAGTAGTTACTGAAAATGCTCGGGCTAGCAGTATATGGAGAAATCCCGTTTCCAAAGCAAGGCCTGAAAGAGGTCCAAATATCCGCTTGCAGACTTTACAAAAAGAGTGTTTCCAAACTGCTGTATGAAAAGAAAGTTTAAAATCTGTGAGTTCAACGCACAAATCACAGAGCAGTTTCTGAGAATTGTTCTGTCTAGTTTTTATACGAAGATATTTCCTTTTCTACAATTGGCCTCAAATCGCTTGAAATCTCCACTTGCAAAAGCAACGAAAGGAGAGTTTCAAATCTGCTCGGTCTAAAGAAAGGTTCAACTCTGTGAATTGAATACACACAACCCAAAGAAGTTACTGAGAATTCTTCGGTCTAGCAGTATATGAAGAAATCCCGTTTCCAACGAAGGCCTCAAAAAGGTCCAAATATCTGCTTGCAGACTTTACAAAGAGAGTGCTTCCAACCTGCTCTATGAAAAGAAAGGTTAAACTCTGTGAGTTGAACGCACACATCACAAAGAAGTTTCTGAGAATGATTCTGTTTAGTTTTTATACGAAGATATTTCCTTTTCTACAATTGGCCCCAAATCGCTTGAAATCTCCTCTGGCAAAAGCCACGAAAAGAGAGTATCAAATCTGCTCTGTCTAAAGAAAAGTTCAACTCTGTGAGTTGAATACACACAACACAAAGAAGTTACTGAGTATTCTTCTGTGTAGCATTATATGAAGAAGTCCCGTTTCCAACGAAGGGCTCAAAGAGCTCCAAATATCCACTTGGAGACTTTACAAAGAGAGCGTTTCCAAACTGCTCTATGAAAAGAAACGTTAAACTCTGTGAGTTGAACGCACACATCACAAACTAGTTTCTGCGAACGATTCTGTGTAGTTTTAATTCGAAGATATTTCCATTTCTAAGATTGGCCTCAAATCCCTTGAAATCTCCACTTGCAAATTCCACAAAAAGAGTGTTTCAAAACTGCTCTGAATAAAGGAAGGTTCAACTCCGTGAGTTGAATGCACACAACACAAAGAGTTACTGAGAATTCTTCTGTCTGTGAGTATATGAAGAAATCCCGTTTGCAACGAAGGCCTCCCAGAAATCTAAATATCCACTTGCAGACCTTACAGACAGAGTCTTTCCAAACTTCTCTATGAAAAGAAAGGTTAATCTCCGTGAGTTGCACGCACACATCAGAAAGTAATTTCTGAGAATGATTCTCTCTAGTTTTTATACGAAGATATTTCCTTTTCTACCATTGGCCTCAAATCGTTTGAAACCTCCACATGCAAAAGCCACGAAAAGAGCGTTTCAAATCTGCTCTGTCTAAAGAAAGGTTCAAATCTGTGAGTTGAATACACACAACACAAAGTAGTTACTGAAAATGCTTCGGTCTAGCAGTATATGGAGAAATCCCGTTTCCAACGAAGGGCTCAAAGAAGTCCAAATATCCACTTGCAGACTTTACAAAAATAGTGTTTCCAAACTGCTCAATTAAAAGAAAGGTTAAACTCTGTGAGTGGAACGCACACATCACCAAGTAGTTTCTGAGAATGAGTTTGTCTAGTTTTCATAAGAAGATATTTCCTTTTCTACCATTGTCCTCGAAGAGCTTGAAATCTGCACTAGCAAATTACACAAAACGAGTGTTTCAAATGTGCTCTCTCTAAAGGAAGGTTCAAATCTCTGAGTTGAATGCACACAACACAAAGAAGTGACTGAGAATACTTCTGTCTAGCATTATAGGAAGAAATCCCGTTTCCAATGAAGGCCTCAAAGAGGTCCAAATATCCACTTGCAGACTTTACAAATAGAGTGTTTCCAAACTGCTCTATGAAAAGAAAGGTTAAACTCTGTGAGTTGAACGCACACATCACAAGGTAGTATCTCAGAATGACACTGTCTACTTTTTATACAAAGATATTTGCATTTCTAAGACTGACCTCAAATCCCTAGAAATCTCCAGTGGAAATTGCACAAACAGAGTGTTTGAAAACTGCTCTTTCTAAAGGAAGGTTCAACTCTGTTAGTTGAATACACACAACACAAACAAGTTACTGAGAATTCTTCTATCTAGCATTATATGAAGAAATCCCGTTTCCAACGAAGGCCTCAAAGAGGTCCAAATATCCTACTGCAGACTTTACAAAGAGAGTGTTTCCAAACTGCTCAATTAAAAGAAAGGTTAAACTCTGTGAGTGGAACGCACACATCACAAAGTAGTTTCTGAGAATGAGTTTGTCTAGTTTTCATACGAAGATATTTCCTTTTCTACCATTGTCCTCGAAGAGCTTGAAATCTGCACTAGCAAATTACACAAAAAGAGTGTTTTAAATGTGCTCTCTCTAAAGGAAGGTTCAAATCTCTGAGTTGAATGCACACAACACAAAGAAGTGACTGGGAATTCTTCTGTCTAGCATTATAGGAGGAAATCCCGTTTCCAACGAAGGCCTCAAAGAGGTCCTAATATCCACTTGCAGACTTTACAAAGACAGCGTTTCCAAACTGCTCTATGAAAAGAAACGTTAAACTTTGTGAGTTGAACGCACACATCACAAACTAGTTTCTGCGAATGATTCTGTGTAGTTTTAATTCGAAGATATTTACATTTCTAAGATTGGCCTCAAATCCCTTGAAATCTCCACTTGCAAATTCCACAAAAAGAGTGTTTCAAAACTGCTCTGAATAAAGAAGATTCAACTCTGTGAGTTGAATGCACACAACAGAAAGTAGTAACTGAGAATTCTTCTGTCGGGTAGTATATGAAGAAATCCCGTTTGCAACGAAGGCCTCACAGAAATCTAAATATCCACTTGCAGACCTTACAGACAGAGTGTTTCCAAACTTCTCTATGAAAAGAAAGGTTAATCTCCGTGAGTTGCACGCACACATCACAAAGTAGATTCTGAGAATGATTCTGTCTAGTTTTTATACGAAGATATTTCCTTTTCTACCATTGGCCTCAAATCGCTTGAAATCTTTACTTGCAAAAGCCACGAAAAGAGCGTTTCAAATCTGCTCTGTCTAAAGAAAGGTTCAAATCTGTGAGTTGAATACACACAACACAAAGTAGTTACTGAAAATGCTTCGGGCTAGCAGTATATGGAGAAATCCCGTTTCCAAAGAAGGCCTGAAAGAGGTCCAAATATCCGCTTGCAGACTTTACAAAAAGAGTGTTTCCAAACTGCTCTATGAAAAGAAAGTTTAAAATCTGTGAGTTGAACGCACAAATCACAGAGCAGTTTCTGAGAATTGTTCTGTCCAGTTTTTATACGAAGATATTTCCTTTTCTACAATTGGCCTCAAATCGCTTGAAATCTCCACTTGCAAAAGCAACGAAAGGAGAGTTTCAACTCTGCTCAGTCTAAAGAAAGGTTCAACTCTGTGAATTGAATACACACAACCCAAAGAAGTTACTGAGAATTCTTCGGTCTAGCAGTATATGAAGAAATCCCGTTTCCAACGAAGGCCTCAAAGATGTCCAAATATCCACTTACAGACTTTACAGACAGAGTCTATCCAAACTGCTGTATGCAAAGAAAGGTTAATCTCTGTGAGTTGCACGCACATATCACAGAGTAGTTTCTGAGAATTGTTCTGTCTAGTTTTTATACGATGATATTTCCTTTTCTACAATTGGCCTCAAATCGCTTGAAATCTCCACTTGCAAAAGCAACGAAAGGAGAGTTTCAAATCTGCTCGGTCTAAAGAAAGGTTCAACTCTGTGAATTGAATACACACAACCCAAAGAAGTTACTGAGAATTCTTCTGTCTAGCATTATATGAAGAAGTCCCGTTTCCAACGAAGGGCTCAAACAGCTCCAAATATCCACTTGGAGACTTTACAAAGAGAGCGTTTCCAAACTGCTCTATGAAAAGAAACGTTAAACTCTGTGAGTTGAACGCACACATCACAAACTAGTTTCTGTGAACGATTCTGTGTAGTTTTAATTCGAAGATATTTCCATTTCTAAGATTGGCCTCAAATCCCTTGAAATCTCCACTTGCAAATTCCACAACAAGAGTGTTTCAAAACTGCTCTGAATAAAGGAAGGTTCAACTCCGTGAGTTGAATGCACACAACACAAAGAGTTACTGAGAATTCTTCTGTCTGTGAGTATATGAAGAAATCCCGTTTGCAACGAAGGCCTCCCAGAAATCTAAATATCCACTTGCAGACCTTACAGACAGAGTCTTTCCAAACTGCTCTATGAAAAGAAAGGTTAATCTCCGTGAGTTGCACGCACACATCAGAAAGTAATTTCTGAGAATGATTCTCTCTAGTTTTTATACGAAGATATTTCCTTTTGTACCATTGGCCTCAAATCGTTTGAAACCTCCACATGCAAAAGCCACGAAAAGAGCGTTTCAAATCTGCTCTGTCTAAAGAAAGGTTCAAATCTGTGAGTTGAATACACACAACACAAAGTAGTTACTGAAAATGCTTCGGTCTAGCAGTATATGGAGAAATCCCGTTTCCAAAGAAGGGCTCAAAGAAGTCCAAATATCCACTTGCAGACTTTACAAAAATAGTGTTTCCAAACTGCTCAATTAAAAGAAAGGTTAAACTCTGTGAGTGGAACGCACACATCACAAAGTAGTTTCTGAGAATGAGTTTGTCTAGTTTTCATACGAAGATATTTCCTTTTCTACCATTGTCCTCGAAGAGCTTGAAATCTGCACTAGCAAATTACACAAAAAGAGTGTTTCAAATGTGCTCTCTCTAAAGGAAGGTTCAAATCTCTGAGTTGAATGCACACAACACAAAGAAGTGACTGAGAATACTTCTGTCTAGCATTACAGGAAGAAATCCCGTTTCCAACGAAGGCCTCAAAGAGGTCCAAATATCCACTTGCAGACTTTACAAATAGAGTGTTTCCAAACTGCTCTATGAAAAGAAAGGTTAAACTCTGTGAGTTGAACGCACACATCACAAGGTAGTATCTCAGAATGACACTGTCTAGTTTTTATACAAAGATATTTCCATTTCTAAGACTGGCCTCAAATCCCTAGAAATCTCCATTGGAAATTGCACAAACAGAGTGTTTGAAAACTGCTCTTTCTAAAGGAAGGTTCAACTCTGTTAGTTGAATACACACAACACAAACAAGTTACTGAGAATTCTTCTATCTAGCATTATATGAAGAAATCCCGTTTCCAACGAAGGCCTCAAAGAGGTCCAAATATCCTACTGCAGACTTTACAAAGAGAGTGTTTCCAAACTGCTCAATTAAAAGAAAGGTTAAACTCTGTGAGTGGAACGCACACATCACAAAGTAGTTTCTGAGAATGATTTTGTCTAGTTTTAATACGAAGATACTTCCTTTCCTACCATTGTCCTCGAAGAGCTTGAAATCTGCACTAGCAAATTACACAAAAAGAGTGTTTTAAATGTGCTCTCTCTAAAGGAAGGTTCAAATCTCTGAGTTGAATGCACACAACACAAAGAAGTGACTGGGAATTCTTCTGTCTAGCATTATAGGAGGAAATCCCGTTTCCAACGAAGGCCTCAAAGAGGTCCTAATATCCACTTGCAGACTTTACAAAGACAGCGTTTCCAAACTGCTCTATGAAAAGAAACGTTAAACTCTGTGAGTTGAACGCACACATCACAAACTAGTTTCTGCGAATGATTCTGTGTAGTTTTAATTCGAAGATATTTCCATTACTAAGATTGGCCTCAAATCCCTTGAAATCTCCACTTGCAAATTCCACAAAAAGAGTGTTTCAAAACTGCTCTGAATAAAGGAAGGTTCAACTCTGTGAGTTGAATGCACACAGCAGAAAGTAGTAACTGAGAATTCTTCTGTCGGGCAGTATATGAAGAAATCCCGTTTGCAACGAAGGCCTCACAGAAATCTAAATATCCACTTGCAGACCTCACAGACAGAGTGTTTCCAAACTTCTCTATGAAAAGAAAGGTTAATCTCCGTGAGTTGCACGCACACATCACAAAGTAGATTCTGAGAATGATTCTGTCTAGTTTTTATATGAAGATATTTCCTTTTCTACCATTGGCCTCAAATCGCTTCAAATCTTTACTTGCAAAAGCCACGAAAAGAGCGTTTCAAATCTGCTCTGTCTAAAGAAAGGTTCAAATCTGTGAGTTGAATACACACAACACAAAGTAGTTACTGAAAATTCTTCGGGCTAGCGGTATATGGAGAAATCCCGTTTCTAAAGAAGGCCTGAAAGAGGTCCAAATATCCGCTTGCAGACTTTACAAAAAGAGTGTTTCCAAACTGCTCTATGAAAAGAAAGTTTAAAATCTGTGAGTTGAACGCACAAATCACATAGCAGTTTCTGAGAATTGTTCTGTCTAGTTTTTATACGAAGATATTTCCTTTTCTACAATTGGCCTCAAAACGCTTGAAATCTCCACTTGCAAAAGCAACGAAAGGAGAGTTTCAAATCTGCTCGGTCTAAAGAAAGGTTCAACTCTGTGAATTGAATACACACAACCCAAAGAAGTTACTGAGAATTCTTCGGTCTAGCAGTATATGAAGAAATCCCGTTTCCAACGAAGGCCTCAAAAAGGTCCAAATATCTGCTTGCAGACTTTACAAAGAGAGTGCTTCCAACCTGCTCTATGAAAAGAAAGGTTAAACTCTGTGAGTTGAACGCACACATCACAAAGAAGTTTCTGAGAATGATTCTGTTTAGTTATTATACGAAGATATTTTCTTTTCTACCATTGGCCTCCAATGACTTGAAATCTCCTCTGGCAAAACCCATGAAAAGAGAGTATCAAATCTGCTCTGTCTAAAGAAAAGTTCAACTCTGTGAGTTGAATACACACAGCACAAAGTAGTTACTGAGTATTCTTCTGTCTAGCATTATATGAAGAAGTCCCGTTTCTAACGAAGGGCTCAAACAGCTCCAAATATCCACTTGGAGACTTTACAAAGAGAGCGTTTCCAAACTGCTCTATGAAAAGAAACGTTAAACTCTGTGAGTTGAACGCACACATCACAAACTAGTTTCTGCGAACGATTCTGTGTAGTTTTAATTCGAAGATATTTCCATTTCTAAGATTGGCCTCAAATCCCTGGAAATCTCCACTTGGAAATTCCAGAAAAAGAGTGTTTCAAAACTGCTCTGAATAAAGGAAGGTTCAACTCCGTGAGTTCAATGCACACAACACAAAGAGTTACTGAGAATTCTTCTGTCTGTGAGTATATGAAGAAATCCCGTTTGCAACGAAGGCCTCACAGAAATCTAAATATCCACTTGCAGACCTTACAGACAGAGTCTTTCCAAACTGCTCTATGAAAAGAAAGGTTAATCTCCGTGAGTTGCACGCACACATCAGAAAGTAATTTCTGAGAATGATTCTCTCTAGTTTTTATACGAAGATATTTCCTTTTCTACCATTGGCCTCAAATCGTTTGAAACCTCCACATGCAAAAGCTACGAAAAGAGCGTTTCAAATCTGCTCTGTCTAAAGAAAGGTTCAAATCTGTGAGTTGAATACACACAACACAAAGTAGTTACTGAAAATGCTTCGGTCTAGCAGTATATGGAGAAATCCCGTTTCCAACGAAGGGCTCAAAGAAGTCCAAATATCCACTTGCAGACTTTACAAAAATAGTGTTTCCAAACTGCTCAATTAAAAGAAAGGTTAAACTCTGTGAGTGGAACGCACACATCACAAAGTAGTTTCTGAGAATGAGTTTGTCTAGTTTTCATACGAAGATATTGCCTTTTCTACCATTGTCCTCGAAGAGCTTGAAATCTGCACTAGCAAATTACACAAAAAGAGTGTTTCAAATGTGCTCTCTCTAAAGGAAGGTTCAAATCTCTGGGTTGAATGCACACAACACAAAGAAGTGACTGAGAATACTTCTGTCTAGCATTAAATGAAGAAATCCCGTTTCCAACGAAGGCCTCAAAGAGGTCCAAATATCCACTTGCAGACTTTACAAACAGAATGTTTCCAAACTGCTCTATGAAAAGAAAGGCTAAACTCTGTGATTTGAATGCACACATCACAAAGTAGTTTCTGAGAATGATACTGTCTAGTTTTTATACAAAGATATTTCCATTTCTAAGACTGGCCTCAAATCCCTAGAAATCTCCATTGGAAATTGCACAAACAGAGTGTTTGAAAACTGCTCTTTCTAAAGGAAGGTTCAACTCTGTTAGTTGAATACAAACAACACAAACAAGTTACTGAAAATTCTTCTATCTAGCATTATATGAAGAAATCCCGTTTCCAACGAAGGCCTCAAAGAGGTCCAAATGTCCTACTGCAGACTTTACAAAGAGAGTGTTTCCAAACTGCTCAATTAAAAGAAAGGTTAAACTCTGTGAGTGGAACGCACACATCACAAAGTAGTTTCTGAGAATGATTTTGTCTAGTTTTCATACGAAGATATTTCCTTTCCTACCATTGTCCTCGAAGAGCTTGAAATCTGCACTAGCAAATTACACAAAAAGAGTGTTTTAAATGTGCTCTCTCTAAAGGAAGGTTCAAATCTCTGAGTTGAATGCACACAACACAAAGAAGTGACTGGGAATTCTTCTGTCTAGCATTATAGGAGGAAATCCCGTTTCCAACGAAGGCCTCAAAGAGGTCCTAATATCCACTTGCAGACTTTACAAAGACAGCGTTTCCAAACTGCTCTATGAAAAGAAAGGTTAAACTCTGTGAGTTGAACGCACACATCACAAACTAGTTTCTGCGAATGATTCTGTGTAGTTTTAATTCGAAGATATTTACATTTCTAAGATTAGGCCTCAAATCCCTTGAAATCTCCACTTGCAAATTCCACAAAAAGAGTGTTTCAAAACTGCTCTGAATAAAGGAAGATTCAACTCTGTGAGTTGAATGCACACAACAGAAAGTAGTAACTGAGAATTCTTCTGTCGGGCAGTATATGAAGAAATCCCGTTTGCAACGAAGGCCTCACAGAAATCTAAATATCCACTTGCAGACCTTACAGACAGAGTGTTTCCAAACTTCTCTATGAAAAGAAAGGTTAATCTCCGTGAGTTGCACGCACACATCACAAAGTAGATTCTGAGAATGATTCTGTCTAGTTTTTATACGAAGATATTTCCTTTCCTACCATTGGCCTCAAATCGCTTGAAATCTTTACTTGCAAAAGCCACGAAAAGAGCGTTTCAAATCTGCTCTGTCTAAAGAAAGGTTCAAATCTGTGAGTTGAATACACACAACACAAATTAGTTACTGAAAATTCTTCGGGCTAGCAGTATATGGAGAAATCCCGTTTCCAAAGAAGGCCTGAAAGAGGTCCAAATATCCGCTTGCAGACTTTACAAAAAGAGTGTTTCCAAACTGCTCTATGAAAAGAAAGTTTAAAATCTGTGAGTTGAACGCACAAATCACAGAGCAGTTTCTGAGAATTGTTCTGTCTAGTTTTTATACGAAGATATTTCCTTTTCTACAATTGGCCTCAAATCGCTTGAAATCTCCACTTGCAAAAGCAACGAAAGGAGAGTTTCAAATCTGCTCGGTCTAAAGAAAGGTTCAACTCTGTGAATTGAATACACACAACCCAAAGTAGTTACTGAGAATTCTTTGGTCTAGCAGTATATGAAGAAATCCCGTTTCCAACGAAGGCCTCAAAGAGGTCCAAATATCCACTTGCAGACTTTACAAATAGAGTGTTTCCAAACTGCTCTATGAAAAGAAAGGTTAAACTCTGTGAGTTGAACGCACACATCACAAGGTAGTATCTCAGAATGACTCTGTTTAGTTATTATACGAAGATATTTTCTTTTCTACCATTGGCCTCCAATGACTTGAAATCTCCTCTGGCAAAAGCCACGAAAAGAGAGTATCAAATCTGCCCTGTCTAAAGAAAAGTTCAACTTTGTGAGTTGAATACACACAGCACAAAGAAGTTACTGAGTATTCTTCTGTCTAGCATTATATGAAGAAGTCCCGTTTCCAACGAAGGGCTCAAACAGCTCCAAATATCCACTTGGAGACTTTACAAAGAGAGCGTTTCCAAACTGCTCTATGAAAAGAAACGTTAAACTCTGTGAGTTGAACGCACATATCACAAACTAGTTTCTGCGAACGATTCTGTGTAGTTTTAATTCGAAGATATTTCCATTTCTAAGATTGGCCTCAAATCCCTTGAAATCTCCACTTGCAAATTCCACAAAAAGAGTGTTTCAAAACTGCTCTGAATAAAGGAAGGTTCAACTCCGTGAGTTGAATGCACACAACACAAAGAGTTACTGAGAATTCTTCTGTCTGTGAGTATATGAAGAAATCCCGTTTGCAACGAAGGCCTCCCAGAAATCTAAATATCCACTTGCAGACCTTACAGACAGAGTCTTTCCAAACTGCTCTATGAAAAGAAAGGTTAATCTCCGTGAGTTGCACGCACACATCAGAAAGTAATTTCTGAGAATGATTCTCTCTAGTTTTTATACGAAGATATTTCCTTTTCTACCATTGGCCTCAAATCGTTTGAAACCTCCACATGCAAAAGCCACGAAAAGAGCGTTTCAAATCTGCTCTGTCTAAAGAAAGGTTCAAATCTGTGAGTTGAATACACACAACACAAAGTAGTTACTGAAAATGCTTCGGTCTAGCAGTATATGGAGAAATCCCGTTTCCAACGAAGGGCTCAAAGAAGTCCAAATATCCACTTGCAGACTTTACAAAAATAGTGTTTCCAAACTGCTCAATTAAAAGAAAGGTTAAACTCTGTGAGTGGAACGCACACATCACAAAGTAGTTTCTGAGAATGATTTTGTCTAGTTTTAATACGAAGATATTTCCTTTCTTACCATTGTCCTCGAAGAGCTTGAAATCTGCACTAGCAAATTACACAAAAAGAGTGTTTCAAATGTGCTCTCTCTAAAGGAAGGTTCAAATCTCTGAGTTGAATGCACACAACACAAAGAAGTGACTGGGAATTCTTCTGTCTAGCATTACAGGAAGAAATCCCGTTTCCAAAGAAGGCCTCAAAGAGGTCCAAATATCCACTTGCAGACTTTACAAATAGAGTGTTTCCAAACTGCTCTATGAAAAGAAACGTTAAACTCTGTGAGTTGAACGCACACATCACAAACTAGTTTCTGCGAATGATTCTGTGTAGTTTTAATTCGAAGATATTTCCATTTCTAAGATAGGCCTCAAATCCCTTGAAATCTCCACTTGCAAATGCCACAAAAAGAGTGTTTCAAAACTGCTCTGAATAAAGGAAGGTTCAACTCTGTGAGTTGAATGCACACAACAGAAAGTAGTAACTGAGAATTCTTCTGTCGGGCAGTATATGAAGAAATCCCGTTTGCAACGAAGGCCTCACAGAAATCTAAATATCCACTTGCAGACCTTACAGACAGAGTGTTTCCAAACTTCTCTATGAAAAGAAAGGTTAATCTCCGTGAGTTGCATGCACACATCACAAAGTAGATTCTGAGAATGATTCTGTCTAGTTTTTATACGAAGATATTTCCTTTTCTACCATTGGCCTCAAATCGCTTGAAATCTTTACTTGCAAAAGCCATGAAAAGAGCGTTTCAAATCTGCTCTGTCTAAAGAAAGGTTCAAATCTGTGAGTTGAATACACACAACACAAAGTAGTTACTGAAAATTCTTCGGGCTAGCAGTATATGGAGAAATCCCGTTTCCAAAGAAGGCCTGAAAGAAGTCCAAATATCCGCTTGCAGACTTTACAAAAAGAGTGTTTCCAAACTGCTCTATGAAAAGAAAGTTTAAAATCTGTGAGTTGAACGCACAAATCACAGAGCAGTTTCTGAGAAATGTTCTGTCTAGTTTTTATACGAAGATATTTCCTTTTCTACAATTGGCCTCAAATCGCTTGAAATCTCCACTTGCAAAAGCAACGAAAGGAGAGTTTCAAATCTGCTCGGTCTAAAGAAAGGTTCAACTCTGTGAATTGAATACACACAACCCAAAGAAGTTACTGAGAATTCTTTGGTCTAGCAGTATATGAAGAAATCCCGTTTCCAACGAAGGCCTCAAAAAGGTCCAAATATCTGCTTGCAGACTTTACAAAGAGAGTGCTTCCAACCTGCTCTATGAAAAGAAAGGTTAAACTCTGTGAGTTGAACGCACACATCACAAAGAAGCTTCTGAGAATGATTCTGTTTAGTTATTATACGAAGATATTTTCTTTCCTACCATTGGCCTCCAATGACTTGAAATCTCCTCTGGCAAAAGCCACGAAAAGAGAGTATCAAATCTGCTCTGTCTAAAGAAAAGTTCAACTCTGTGAGTTGAATACACACAGCACAAAGAAGTTACTGAGTATTCTTCTGTCTAGCATTATATGAAGAAGTCCCGTTTCCAACGAAGGGCTCAAACAGCTCCAAATATCCACTTGGAGACTTTACAAAGAGAGCGTTTCCAAACTGCTCTATGAAAAGAAACGTTAAACTCTGTGAGTTGAACGCACACATCACAAACTAGTTTCTGCGTACGATTCTGTGTAGTTTTAATTCGAAGATATTTCCATTTCTAAGATTGGCCTCAAATCCCTTGAAATCTCCACTTGCAAATTCCACAAAAAGAGTGTTTCAAAACTGCTCTGAATAAAGGAAGGTTCAACTCCGTGAGTTGAATGCACACAACACAAAGAGTTACTGAGAATTCTTCTGTCTGTGAGTATATGAAGAAATCCCGTTTGCAACGAAGGCCTCACAGAAATCTAAATATCCACTTGCAGACCTTACAGACAGAGTCTTTCCAAACTGCTGTATGAAAAGAAAGGTTAATCTCCGTGAGTTGCACGCACACATCAGAAAGTAATTTCTGAGAATGATTCTCTCTAGTTTTTATACGAAGATATTTCCTTTTCTACCATTGGCCTCAAATCGTTTGAAACCTCCACATGCAAAAGCCACGAAAAGAGCGTTTCAAATCTGCTCTGTCTAAACAAAGGTTCAAATCTGTGAGTTGAATACACACAACACAAAGTAGTTACTGAAAATGCTTCGGTCTAGCAGTATATGGAGAAATCCCGTTTCCAACGAAGGGCTCAAAGAAGTCCAAATATCCACTTGCAGACTTTACAAAAATAGTGTTTCCAAACTGCTCAATTAAAAGAAAGGTTAAACTCTGTGAGTGGAAGCACACATCACAAAGTAGTTTCTGAGAATGAGTTTGTCTAGTTTTCATACGAAGATATTGCCTTTTCTACCATTGTCCTCGAAGAGCTTGAAATCTGCACTAGCAAATTACACAAAAAGAGTGTTTCAAATGTGCTCTCTCTAAAGGAAGGTTCAAATCTCTGAGTTGAATGCACACAACACAAAGAAGTGACTGAGAATACTTCTGTCTAGCATTATAAGAAGAAATCCCGTTTCCAACGAAGGCCTCAAAGTCCAAATATCCACTTGCAGACTTTACAAATAGAGTGTTTCCAAACTGCTCTATGAAAAGAAAGGTTAAACTCTGTGAGTTGAACGCACACATCACAAGGTAGTATCTCAGAATGACACTGTCTAGTTTTTATACAAAGATATTTCCATTTCTAAGACTGGCCTCAAATCCCTGGAAATCTCCATTGGAAATTGCACAAACAGAGTGTTTGAAAACTGCTCTTTCTAAAGGAAGGTTCAACTCTGTTAGTTGAATACACACAACACAAACAAGTTACTGAGAATTCTTCTATCTAGCATTATATGAAGAAATCCCGTTTCCAACGAAGGCCTCAAAGAGGTCCAAATATCCTACTGCAGACTTTACAAAGAGAGTGTTTCCAAACTGCTCAATTAAAAGAAAGGTTAAACTCTGTGAGTGGAACGCACACATCACAAAGTAGTTTCTGAGAATGATTTTGTCTAGTTTTCATACGAAGATATTTCCTTTCCTACCATTGTCCTCGAAGAGCTTGAAATCTGCAATAGAAAATTACACAAAAAGAGTGTTTCAAATGTGCTCTCTCTAAAGAAAGGTTCAAATCTCTGAGTTGAATGCACACAACACAAAGAAGTGACTGGGAATTCTTCTGTCTAGCATTATAGGAGGAAATCCCGTTTCCAACGAAGGCCTCAAAGAGGTCCTAATATCCACTTGCAGACTTTACAAAGACAGCATTTCCAAACTGCTCTATGAAAAGAAACGTTAAACTCTGTGAGTTGAACGCACACATCACAAACTAGTTTCTGCGAATGATTCTGTGTAGTTTTAATTCGAAGATATTTCCATTTCTAAGATTGGCCTCAAATCCCTTGAAATCTCCACTTGCAAATTCCACAAAAAGAGTGTTTCAAAACTGCTCTGAATAAAGGAAGGTTCAACTCTGTGAGTTGAATGCACACAACAGAAAGTAGTAACTGAGAATTCTTCTGTCGGGCAGTATATGAAGAAATCCCGTTTGCAACGAAGGCCTCACAGAAATCTAAATATCCACTTGCAGACCTTACAGACAGAGTGTTTCCAAACTTCTCTATGAAAAGAAAGGTTAATCTCCGTGAGTTGCACGCACACATCACAAAGTAGATTCTGAGAATGATTCTGTCTAGTTTTTATACGAAGATATTTCCTTTTCTACCATTGGCCTCAAATCGCTTGAAATCTTTACTTGCAAAAGCCACGAAAAGAGCGTTTCAAATCTGCTCTGTCTAAAGAAAGGTTCAAATCTGTGAGTTGAATACACACAACACAAAGTAGTTACTGAAAATGCTTCGGGCTAGCAGTATATGGAGAAATCCCGTTTCCAAAGAAGGCCTGAAAGAGGTCCAAATATCCGCTTGCAGACTTTACAAAAAGAGTGTTTCCAAACTGCTCTATGAAAAGAAAGTTTAAAATCTGTGAGTTGAACGCACAAATCACAGAGCAGTTTCTGAGAATTGTTCTGTCTAGTTTTTATACGAAGATATTTCCTTTTCTACAATTGGCCTCAAATCGCTTGAAATCTTCACTTGCAAAAGCAACGAAAGGAGAGTTTCAAATCTGCTCGGTCTAAAGAAAGGTTCAACTCTGTGAATTGAATACACACAACCCAAAGAAGTTACTGAGAATTCTTCGGTCTAGCAGTATATGAAGAAATCCCGTTTCCAACGAAGGCCTCAAAAAGGTCCAAATATCTGCTTGCAGACTTTACAAAGAGAGTGCTTCCAACCTGCTCTATGAAAAGAAAGGTTAAACTCTGTGAGTTGAACGCACACATCACAAAGAAGTTTCTGAGAATGATTCTGTTTAGTTATTATACGAAGATATTTTCTTTTCTACCATTGGCCTCCAATGAGTTGAAATCTCCTCTGGCAAAAGCCACGAAAAGAGAGTATCAAATCTGCTCTGTCTAAAGAAAAGTTCAACTCTGTGAGTTGAATACACACAGCACAAAGAAGTTACTGAGTATTCTTTCTGTCTAGCATTATATGAAGAAGTCCCGTTTCCAACGAAGGGCTCAAACAGCTCCAAATATCCACTTGGAGACTTTACAAAGAGAGCGTTTCCAAACTGCTCTATGAAAAGAAACGTTAAACTCTGTGAGTTGAACGCACACATCACAAACTAGTTTCTGCGAACGATTCTCTGTAGTTTTAATTCGAAGATATTTCCATTTCTAAGATTGGCCTCAAATCCCTTGAAATCTCCACTTGCAAATTCCACAAAAAGAGTGTTTCAAAACTGCTCTGAATAAAGGAAGGTTCAACTCTGTGTGTTGAATTTACACAACACAAAGTAGTTACTGAGAATTCTTCTGTCTGTGAGTATATGAAGAAATCCCGTTTGCAACGAAGGCCTCACAGAAATCTAAATATCCACTTGCAGACCTTACAGACAGAGTCTTTCCAAACTGCTCTATGAAAAGAAAGGTTAATCTCTGTGAGTTGCACGCACACATCAGAAAGTAATTTCTGAGAATGATTCTCTCTAGTTTTTATACGAAGATATTTCCTTTTCTACCATTGGCCTCAAATCGTTTGAAACCTCCACATGCAAAAGCCACGAAAAGAGCGTTTCAAATCTGCTCTGTCTAAAGAAAGGTTCAAATCTGTGAGTTGAATACACACAACACAAAGTAGTTACTGAAAATGCTTCAGTCTAGCAGTATATGGAGAAATCCCGTTTCCAACGAAGGGCTCAAAGAAGTCCAAATATCCACTTGCAGACTTTACAAAAATAGTGTTTCCAAACTGCTCAATTAAAAGAAAGGTTAAACTCTGTGAGTGGAACGCACACATCACAAAGTAGTTTCTGAGAATGAGTTTGTCTAGTTTTCATACGAAGATATTTCCTTTTCTACCATTGTCCTCGAAGAGCTTGAAATCTGCACTAGCAAATTACACAAAAAGAGTGTTTCAAATGTGCTCTCTCTAAAGGAAGGTTCAAATCTCTGAGTTGAATGCACACAACACAAAGAAGTGACTGAGAATACTTTTGTCTAGCATTACAGGAAGAAATCCCATTTCCAACGAAGGCCTCAAAGAGGTCCAAATATCCACTTGCAGACTTTACAAATAGAGTGTTTCCAAACTGCTGTATGACAAGAAAGGTTAAACTCTGTGAGGTGAACGCACACATCACAAGGTAGTATCTCAGAATGACACTGTCTAGTTTTTATACAAAGATATTTCCATTTCTAAGACTGGCCTCAAATCCCTAGAAATCTCCATTGGAAATTGCACAGAGTGTTTGAAAACTGCTCTTTCTAAAGGAAGGTTCAACTCTGTTAGTTGAATACACACAACACAAACAAGTTACTGAGAATTCTTCTATCTAGCATTATATGAAGAAATCCCGTTTCCAACGAAGGCCTCAAAGAGGTCCAAATATCCTACTGCAGACTTTACAAAGAGAGTGTTTCCAAACTGCTCAATTAAAAGAAAGGTTAAACTCTGTGAGTGGAACGCACACATCACAAAGTAGTTTCTGAGAATGATTTTGTCTAGTTTTAATACGAAGATATTTCCTTTCCTACCATTGTCCTCGAAGAGCTTGAAATCTGCACTAGCAAATTACACAAAAAGAGTGTTTTAAATGTGCTCTCTCTAAAGGAAGGTTCAAATCTCTGAGTTGAATGCACACAACACAAAGAAGTGACTTGGAATTCTTCTGTCCAGCATTATAGGAGGAAATCCCGTTTCCAACGAAGGCCTCAAAGAGGTCCTAATATCCACTTGCAGACGTTACAAAGACAGCGTTTCCAAACTGCTCTATGAAAAGAAACGTTAAACTCTGTGAGTTGAACACACACATCACAAACTAGTTTCTGCGAACGATTCTGTGTAGTTTTAATTCGAAGATATTTCCATTTCTAAGATTGGCCTCAAATCCCTTGAAATCTCCACTTGCAAATTCCACAAAAAGCGTGTTTCAAAACTGCTCTGAATAAAGGAAGGTTCAACTCTGTGAGTTGAATGCACACAACAGAAAGTAGTAACTGAGAATTCTTCTGTCGGGCAGTATATGAAGAAATCCCGTTTGCAACGAAGGCCTCACAGAAATCTAAATATCCACTTGCAGACCTTACAGACAGTGTTTCCAAACTTCTCTATGAAAAGAAAGGTTAATCTCCGTGAGTTGCACGCACACATCACAAAGTAGATTCTGAGAATGATTCTGTCTAGTTTTTATACGAAGATATTTCCTTTTCTACCATTGGCCTCAAATCGCTTGAAATCTTTACTTGCAAAAGCCACGAAAAGAGCGTTTCAAATCTGCTCTGTCTAAAGAAAGGTTCAAATCTGTGAGTTGAATACACACAACACAAAGTAGTTACTGAAAATTCTTCGGGCTAGCAGTATATGGAGAAATCCCGTTTGCAAAGAAGGCCTGAAAGAGGTCCAAATATCCGCTTGCAGACTTTACAAAAAGAGTGTTTCCAAACTGCTCTATGAAAAGAAAGTTTAAAATCTGTGAGTTGAACGCACAAATCACAGAGCAGTTTCTGAGAATTGTTCTGTCTAGTTTTTATACGAAGATATTTCCTTTTCTACAATTGGCCTCAAATCGCTTGAAATCTCCACTTGCAAAAGCAACGAAAGGAGAGTTTCAAATCTGCTCGGTCTAAAGAAAGGTTC
Organism: Homo sapiens; assembly: GCF_000001405.40. Classification (NCBI taxonomy): domain Eukaryota; kingdom Metazoa; phylum Chordata; class Mammalia; order Primates; family Hominidae; genus Homo; species Homo sapiens. Next base: position 39,807,021 of record NC_000010.11, on the reverse strand, counting down.
AACTCTGTGAATTGAATACACACAACCCAAAGAAGTTACTGAGAATTCTTCGGTCTAGCAGTATATGAAGAAATCCCGTTTCCAACGAAGGCCTCAAAAAGGTCCAAATATCTGCTTGCAGACTTTACAAAGAGAGTGCTTCCAACCTGCTCTATGAAAAGAAAGGTTAAACTCTGTGAGTTGAACGGCACACATCACAAAGAAGTTTCTGAGAATGATTCTGTTTAGTTATTATACGAAGATATTTTCTTTTCTACCATTGGCCTCCAATGACTTGAAATCTCCTCTGGCAAAACACACGAAAAGAGAGTATCAAATCTGCTCTGTATAAAGAAAAGTTCAACTCTGTGAGTTGAATACACACAGCACAAAGAAGTTACTGAGTATTCTTCTGTCTAGCATTATATGAAGAAGTCCCGTTTCCAACGAAGGGCTCAAACAGCTCCAAATATCCACTTGGAGACTTTACAAAGAGAGCGTTTCCAAACTGCTCTATGAAAAGAAACGTTAAAGTCTGTGAGTTGAACGCACACATCACAAACTAGTTTCTGCGAACGATTCTGTGTAGTTTTAATTCGAAGATATTTCCATTTCTAAGATTGGCCTCAAATCCCTTGAAATCTCCACTTGCAAATTCCACAAAAAGAGTGTTTCAAAACTGCTCTGAATAAAGGAAGGTTCAACTCCGTGAGTTGAATGCACACAACACAAAGAGTTACTGAGAATTCTTCTGTCTGTGAGTATATGAAGAAATCCCGTTTGCAACGAAGGCCTCACAGAAATCTAAATATCCACTTGCAGACCTTACAGACAGAGTCTTAACAAACTGCTCTATGAAAAGAAAGGTTAATCTCCGTGAGTTGCACGCACACATCAGAAAGTAATTTCTGAGAATGATTCTCTCTAGTTTTTATACGAAGATATTTCCTTTTCTACCATTGGCCTCAAATCGTTTGAAACCTCCACATGCAAAAGCCACGAAAAGAGCGTTTCAAATCTGCTCTGTCTAAAGAAAGGTTCAAATCTGTGAGTTGAATACACACAACACAAAGTAGTTACTGAAAATGCTTCTGTCTAGCATTATATGAAGAAGTCCCCTTTCCAACGAAGGGCTCAAAGAAGTCCAAATATCCACTTGCAGACTTTACAAAAATAGTGTTTCCAAACAGCTCAATTAAAAGAAAGGTTAAACTCTGTGAGTGGAACGCACACATCACAAAGTAGTTTCTGAGAATGAGTTTGTCTAGTTTTCATACGAAGATATTTCCTTTTCTACCATTGTCCTCGAAGAGCTTGAAATCTGCACTAGCAAATTACACAAAAAGAGTGTTTCAAATGTGCTCTCTCTAAAGGAAGGTTCAAATCTCTGAGTTGAATGCACACAACACAAAGAAGTGACTGAGAATACTTCTGTCTAGCATTATAGGAAGAAATCCCGTTTCCAACGAAGGCCTCAAAGAGGTCCAAATATCCACTTGCAGACTTTACAAATAGAGTGTTTCCAAACTGCTCTATGAAAAGAAAGGTTAAACTCTGTGAGTTGAACGCACACATCACAAGGTAGTATCTCAGAATGACACTGTCTAGTTTTTATACAAAGATATTTCCATTTCTAAGACTGGCCTCAAACCCCTAGAAATCTCCATTGGAAATTGCACAAACAGAGTGTTTGAAAACTGCTCTTTCTAAAGGAAGGTTCAACTCTGTTAGTTGAATACACACAACACAAACAAGTTACTGAGAATTCTTCTGTCTAGCATTATGTGAAGAAATCCCGTTTCCAACGAAGGCCTCAAAGAGATCGAACTATCCACTTGCAGACCTTACAAACAGAGTGTTTCCAAACTGCTCAATGAAAACAAAGGTGAAACTCTGTGAGTTGAACCCACACATCACAGACTAGTTTCTGCGAATGATTCTGTGTAGTTTTAATTTGAAGATATTTCCATTTCTAAGATTGGCCTCAAATCACTTTAAATCTCCACTTGCAAATTCCACAAAAAGAGTATTTCAAAACTGCTCTGAATAAAGGAAGGTTCAACTCTGTGAGTTGAATACACACAACACAAAGAAGTTACTGAGAATTCCTCTGTCTAGCATTATAGGAGGAAATCCCGTTTCCAACGAAGGCCTCAAAGAGGTCCTAATATCCACTTGCAGACTTTACAAAGACAGCGTTTCCAAACTGCTCTATGAAAAGAAACGTTAGACTCTGTGAGTTGAACGCACACATCACAAACTAGTTTCTGCGAATGATTCTGCGTAGTTTTAATTCGAAGATATTTCCATTTCTAAGATTGGCCTCAAATCCCTTGAAATCTCCACTTGCAAATGCCACAAAAAGAGTGTTTCAAAACTGCTCTGAATAAAGGAAGGTTCAACTCTGTGAGTTGAATGCACACAACAGAAAGTAGTAACTGAGAATTCTTCTGTCGGGCACTATGAAGAAATCCCGTTTGCAACGAAGGCCTCACAGAAATCTAAATATCCACCTGCAGACCTTACAGACAGAGTGTTTCCAAACTTCTCTATGAAAAGAAAGGTTAATCTCCGTGAGTTGCACGCACACATCACAAAGTAGATTCTGAGAATGATTCTGTCTAGTTTTTATACGAAGATATTTCCTTTTCTACCATTGGCCTCAAATCGCTTGAAATCTTTACTTGCAAAAGCCACGAAAAGAGCGTTTCAAATCTGCTCTGTCTAAAGAAAGGTTCAAATCTGTGAGTTGAATACACACAACACAAAGTAGTTACTGAAAATTCTTCGGGCTAGCAGTATATGGAGAAATCCCGTTTCCAAAGAAGGCCTGAAAGAGGTCCAAATATCCGCTTGCAGACTTTACAAAAAGAGTGTTTCCAAACTGCTCTATGAAAAGAAAGTTTAAAATCTGTGAGTTGAACGCACAAATCACAGAGCAGTTTCTGAGAATTGTTCTGTCTAGTTTTTATACGAAGATATTTCCTTTTCTACAATTGGCCTCAAATCGCTTGAAATCTCCACTTGCAAAAGCAACGAAAGGAGAGTTTCAAATCTGCTCGGTCCAAAGAAAGGTTCAACTCTGTGAATTGAATACACACAACCCAAAGAAGTTACTGAGAATTCTTCGGTCTAGCAGTATATGAAGAAATCCCGTTTCCAACGGAGGCCTCAAAAAGTTCTAAATATCTGCTTGCAGACTTTACAAAGAGAGTGCTTCCAACCTGCTCTATGAAAAGAAAGGTTAAACTCTGTGAGTTGAACGCACACATCACAAAGAAGTTTCTGAGAATGATTCTGTTTAGTTATTATACGAAGATATTTTCTTTTCTACCATTGGCCTCCAATGACTTGAAATCTCCTCTGGCAAAACCCATGAAAAGAGAGTATCAAATCTGCTCTGTCTAAAGAAAAGTTCAACTCTGTGAGTTGAATACACACAGCACAAAGAAGTTACTGAGTATTCTTCTGTCTAGCATTATATGAAGAAGTCCCGTTTCCAACGAAGGGCTCAAACAGCTCCAAATATCCACTTGGAGACTTTACAAAGAGAGCGTTTCCAAACTGCTCTATGAAAAGAAACGTTAAACTCTGTGAGTTGAACGCACACATCACAAACTAGTTTCTGCGAACGATTCTGTGTAGTTTTAATTCGAAGATATTTCCATTTCTAAGATTGGCCTCAAATCCCTTGAAATCTCCACTTGCAAATTCCACAAAAAGAGTGTTTCAAAACTGCTCTGAATAAAGGAAGGTTCAACTCCGTGAGTTGAATGCACACAACACAAAGAGTTACTGAGAATTCTTCTGTCTGTGAGTATATGAAGAAATCCCGTTTGCAACGAAGGCCTCACGGAAATCTAAATATCCACTTGCAGACCTTACAGACAGAGTCTTTCCAAACTGCTCTATGAAAAGAAAGGTTAATCTCCGTGAGTTGCACGCACACATCAGAAAGTAATTTCTGAGAATGATTCTCTCTAGTTTTTATACGAAGATATTTCCTTTTCTACCATTGGCCTCAAATCGTTTGAAACCTCCACATGCAAAAGCCACGAAAAGAGCGTTTCAAATCTGCTCTGTCTAAAGAAAGGTTCAAATCTGTGAGTTGAATACACACAACACAAAGTAGTTACTGAAAATGCTTTGGTCTAGCAGTATATGGAGAAATCCCGTTTCCAACGAAGGGCTCAAAGAAGTCTAAATATCCACTTGCAGACTTTACAAAAATAGTGTTTCCAAACTGCTCAATTAAAAGAAAGGTTAAACTCTGTGAGTGGAACGCACACATCACAAAGTAGTTTCTGAGAATGATTTTGTCTAGTTTTCATACGAAGATATTTCCTTTTCTACCATTGTCCTCGAAGAGCTTGAAATCTGCACTAGCAAATTACACAAAAAGAGTGTTTCAAATGTGCTCTCTCTAAAGGAAGGTTCAAATCTCTGAGTTGAATGCACACAACACAAAGAAGTGACTGAGAATACTTCTGTCTAGCATTATAGGAAGAAATCCCGTTTCCAACGAAGGCCTCAAAGAGGTCCAAATATCCACTTGCAGACTTTACAAATAGAGTGTTTCCAAACTGCTCTATGAAAAGAAAGGTTAAACTCTGTGAGTTGAACGCACACATCACAAGGTAGTATCTCAGAATGACACTGTCTAGTTTTTATACAAAGATATTTCCATTTCTAAGACTGGCCTCAAATCCCTGGAAATCTCCATTGGAAATTGCACAAACAGAGTGTTTGAAAACTGCTCTTTCTAAAGGAAGGTTCAACTCTGTTAGTTGAATACACACAACACAAACAAGTTACTGAGAATTCTTCTATCTAGCATTATATGAAGAAATCCCGTTTCCAACGAAGGCCTCAAAGAGGTCCAAATATCCTACTGCAGACTTTACAAAGAGAGTGTTTCCAAACTGCTCAATTAAAAGAAAGGTTAAACTCTGTGAGTGGAACGCACACATCACAAAGTAGTTTCTGAGAATGATTTTGTCTAGTTTTAATACGAAGATATTTCCTTTCCTACCATTGTCCTCGAAGAGCTTGAAATCTGCACTAGCAAATTACACAAAAAGAGTGTTTTAAATGTGCTCTCTCTAAAGGAAGGTTCAAATCTCTGAGTTGAATGCCCACAACACAAAGAAGTGACTGGGAATTCTTCTGTCTAGCATTACAGGAGGAAATCCCGATTCCAACGAAGGCCTCAAAGAGGTCCTAATATCCACTTGCAGACTTTACAAAGACAGCGTTTCCAAACTGCTCTATGAAAAGAAACGTTAAACTCTGTGAGTTGAACGCACACATCACAAACTAGTTTCTGCGAATGATTCTGTGTAGTTTTAATTCGAAGATATTTCCATTTCTAAGATTGGCCTCAAATCCCTTGAAATCTCCACTTGCAAATTCCACAAAAAGAGTGTTTCAAAACTGCTCTGAATAAAGGAAGGTTCAACTCTGTGAGTTGAATGCACACAGCAGAAAGTAGTAACTGAGAATTCTTCTGTCGGGCAGTATATGAAGAAATCCCGTTTGCAACGAAGGCCTCACAGAAATCTAAATATCCACTTGCAGACCTTACAGACAGAGTGTTTCCAAACTTCTCTATGAAAAGAAAGGTTAATCTCCGTGAGTTGCACGCACACATCACAAAGTAGATTCTGAGAATGATTCTGTCTAGTTTTTATACGAAGATATTTCCTTTTCTACCATTGGCCTCAAATCGCTTGAAATCTTTACTTGCAAAAGCCACGAAAAGAGCGTTTCAAATCTGCTCTGTCTAAAGAAAGGTTCAAATCTGTGAGTTGAATACACACAACACAAATTAGTTACTGAAAATTCTTCGGGCTAGCAGTATATGGAGAAATCCCGTTTCCAAAGAAGGCCTGAAAGAGGTCCAAATATCCGCTTGCAGACTTTACAAAAAGAGTGTTTCCAAACTGCTCTATGAAAAGAAAGTTTAAAATCTGTGAGTTCAACGCACAAATCACAGAGCAGTTTCTGAGAATTGTTCTGTCTAGTTTTTATACGAAGATATTTCCTTTTCTACAATTGGCCTCAAATCGCTTGAAATCTCCACTTGCAAAAGCAACGAAAGGAGAGTTTCAAATCTGCTCGGTCTAAAGAAAGGTTCAACTCTGTGAATTGAATACACACAACCCAAAGAAGTTACTGAGAATTCTTCGGTCTAGCAGTATATGAAGAAATCCAGTTTCCAACGAAGGCCTCAAAAAGGTCCAAATATCTGCTTGCAGACTTTACAAAGAGAGGGCTTCCAACCTGCTCTATGAAAAGAAAGGTTAAACTCTGTGAGTTGAACGCACTCATCACAAAGAAGTTTCTGAGAATGATTCTGTTTAGTTATTATACGAAGATATTTTCTTTTCTACCATTGGCCTCCAATGACTTGAAATCTCCTCTGGCAAAAGCCACGAAAAGAGAGTATCAAATCTGCTCTGTCTAAAGAAAAGTTCAACTCTGTGAGTTGAATACACACAGCACAAAGAAGTTACTGAGTATTCTTCTGTCTAGCATTATATGAAGAAGTCCCGTTTCCAACGAAGGGCTCAAACAGCTCCAAATATCCACTTGGAGACTTTACAAAGAGAGCGTTTCCAAACTGCTCTATGAAAAGAAACGTTAAACTCTGTGAGTTGAACGCACACATCACAAACTAGTTTCTTCGAACGATTCTGTGTAGTTTTAATTCGAAGATATTTCCATTTCTAAGATTGGCCTCAAATCCCTTGAAATCTCCACTTGCAAATTCCACAAAAAGAGTGTTTCAAAACTGCTCTGAATAAAGGAAGGTTCAACTCCGTGAGTTGAATGCACACAACACAAAGAGTTACTGAGAATTCTTCTGTCTGTGAGTATATGAAGAAATCCCGTTTGCAACGAAGGCCTCCCAGAAATCTAAATATCCACTTGCAGACCTTACAGACAGAGTCTTTCCAAACTGCTCTATGAAAAGAAAGGTTAAACTCTGTGAGTTGAACACACACATCACAAGGTAGTATCTCAGAATGACTCTGTCTAGTTTTTATACGAAGATATTTCCTTTTCTACCATTGGCCTCAAATCGTTTGAAACCTCCACATGCAAAAGCCACGAGAAGAGCGTTTCAAATCTGCTCTGTCTAAAGAAAGGTTCAAATCTGTGAGTTGAATACACACAACACAAAGTAGTTACTGAAAATGCTTTGGTCTAGCAGTATATGGAGAAATCCCGTTTCCAACGAAGGGCTCAAAGAAGTCCAAATATCCACTTGCAGACTTTACAAAAATAGTGTTTCCAAACTGCTCAATTAAAAGAAAGGTTAAACTCTGTGAGTGGAACGCACACATCACAAAGTAGTTTCTGAGAATGATTTTGTCTAGTTTTCATACGAAGATATTTCCTTTTCTACCATTGTCCTCGAAGAGCTTGAAATCTGCACTAGCAAATTACACAAAAAGAGTGTTTCAAATGTGCTCTCTCTAAAGGAAGGTTCAAATCCCTGAGTTGAATGCACACAACACAAAGAAGTGACTGAGAATACTTCTGTCTAGCAGTATATGAAGAAATCCCGTTTCCAACGAAGGCCTCAAAGATGTCCAAATATCCACTTACAGACTTTACAGACAGAGTCTTTCCAAACTGCTGTATGAAAAGAAAGGTTAATCTCTGTGAGTTGCACGCACACATCACAGAGTAGTTTCTGAGAATTGTACTGTCTAGTTTTTATACAAAGATATTTCCATTTCTAAGACTGGCCTCAAATCCCTAGAAATCTCCATTGGAAATTGCACAAACAGAGTGTTTGAAAACTGCTCTTTCTAAAGGAAGGTTCAACTCTGTTAGTTGAATACACACAACACAAACAAGTTACTGAGAACTCTTCTATCTAGCATTATATGAAGAAATCCCGTTTCCAACGAAGGCCTCAAAGAGGTCCAAATATCCTACTGCAGACTTTACAAAGAGAGTGTTTCCAAACTGCTCAATTAAAAGAAAGGTTAAACTCTGTGAGTGGAACGCACACATCACAAAGTAGTTTCTGAGAATGATTTTGTCTAGTTTTAATACGAAGATATTTCCTTTCCTACCATTGTCCTCGAAGAGCTTGAAATCTGCACTAGCAAATTACACAAAAAGAGTGTTTTAAATGTGCTCTCTCTAAAGGAAGGTTCAAATCTCTGAGTTGAATGCACACAACACAAAGAAGTGACTGGGAATTCTTCCGTCTACCATTATAGGAGGAAATCCCGTTTCCAACATAGGCCTCAAAGAGGTCCTAATATCCACTTGCAGACTTTACAAAGACAGCGTTTCCAAACTGCTCTATGAAAAGAAACGTTAAACTCTGTGAGTTGAACGCACACATCACAAACTAGTTTCTGCGAATGATTCTGTGTAGTTTTAATTCGAAGATATTTCCATTTCTAAGATTGGCCTCAAATCCCTTGAAATCTCCACTTGCAGATTCCACAAAAAGAGTGTTTCAAAACTGCTCTGAATAAAGGAAGGTTCAACTCTGTGAGTTGAATGCACACAACACAAAGTAGTAACTGAGAATTCTTCTGTCGGACAGTATATGAAGAAACCCGTTTGCAACGAAGGCCTCACAGAAATCTAAATATCCACTTGCAAACCTTACAGACAGAGTGTTTCCAAACTTCTCTATGAAAAGAAAGGTTAATCTCCGTGAGTTGCACGCACACATCACAAAGTAGATTCTGAGAATGATTCTGTCTAGTTTTTATACGAAGATATTTCCTTTTCTACCATTGGCCTCAAATCGCTTGAAATCTTTACTTGCAAAAGCCACGAAAAGAGCGTTTCAAATCTGCTCTGTCTAAAGAAAGGTTCAAATCTGTGAGTTGAATACACACAACACAAAGTAGTTACTGAAAATGCTTCGGGCTAGCAGTATATGGAGAAATCCCGTTTCCAAAGAAGGCCTGAAAGAGGTCCAAATATCCGCTTGCAGACTTTACAAAAAGAGTGTTTCCAAACTGCTCTATGAAAAGAAAGTTTAAAATCTGTGAGTTGAACGCACAAATCACAGAGCAGTTTCTGAGAACTGTTCTGTGTAGTTTTTATACGAAGATATTTCCTTTTCTACAATTGGCCTCAAATCGCTTGAAATCTCCACTTGCAAAAGCAACGAAAGGAGAGTTTCAAATCTGCTCGGTCTAAAGAAAGGTTCAACTCTGTGAATTGAATACACACAACCCAAAGAAGTTACTGAGAATTCTTCGGTCTAGCAGTATATGAAGAAATCCCGTTTCCAACGAAGGCCTCAAAAAGGTCCAAATATCTGCTTGCAGACTTTACAAAGAGAGTGCTTCCAACCTGCTCTATGAAAAGAAAGGTTAAACTCTGTGAGTTGAACGCACACATCACAAAGAAGTTTCTGAGAATGATTCTGTTTAGTTATTATACGAAGATATTTTCTTTTCTACCATTGGTCTCCAATGACTTGAAATCTCCTCTGGCAAAAGCCACGAAAAGAGAGAATCAAATCTGCTCTGTCTAAAGAAAAGTTCAACTCTGTGAGTTGAATACACACAGCACAAAGAAGTTACTGAGTATTCTTCTGTCTAGCATTATATGAAGAAGTCCCGTTTCCAACGAAGGGCTCAAACAGCTCCAAATATCCACTTGGAGACTTTACAAAGAGAGCGTTTCCAAACTGCTCTATGAAAAGAAACGTTAAACTCTGTGAGTTGAACGCACACATCACAAACTAGTTTCTGCGAACGATTCTGTGTAGTTTTAATTCGAAGATATTTCCATTTCTAAGATTGGCCTCAAATCCCTTGAAATCTCCACTTGCAAATTCCACAAAAAGAGTGTTTCAAAACTGCTCTGAATAAAGGAAGGTTCAACTCCGTGAGTTGAATGCACACAACACAAAGAGTTACTGAGAATTCTTCTGTCGGGCAGTATATGAAGAAATCCCGTTTGCAACGAAGGCCTCACAGAAATCTAAATATCCACTTGCAGACCTTACAGACAGAGTCTTTCCAAACTGCTCTATGAAAAGAAAGGTTAATCTCCGTGAGTTGCACGCACACATCAGAAAGTAATTTCTGAGAATGATTCTCTCTAGTTTTTATACGAAGATATTTCCTTTTCTACCATTGGCCTCAAATCGTTTGAAACCTCCACATGCAACAGCCACGAAAAGAGCGTTTCAAATCTGCTCTGTCTAAAGAAAGGTTCAAATCTGTGAGTTGAATACACACAACACAAAGTAGTTACTGAAAATGCTTCGGTCTAGCAGTATATGGAGAAATCCCGTTTCCAACGAAGGGCTCAAAGAAGTCCAAATATCCACTTGCAGACCTTACAAAAATAGTGTTTCCAAACTGCTCAATTAAAAGAAAGGTTAAACTCTGTGAGTGGAACGCACACATCACAAAGTAGTTTCTGAGAATGAGTTTGTCTAGTTTTCATACGAAGATATTTCCTTTTCTACCATTGTCCTCGAAGAGCTTGAAATCTGCACTAGCAAATTACACAAAAAGAGTGTTTCAAATGTGCTCTCTCTAAAGAAGGTTCAAATCTCTGAGTTGAATGCACACAACACAAAGAAGTGACTGAGAATACTTCTGTCTAGCATTATAGGAAGAAATCCCGTTTCCAACGAAGGCCTCAAAGAGGTCCAAATATCCACTTGCAGACTTTACAAATAGAGTGTTTCCAAACTGCTCTATGAATAGAAAGGTTAAACTCTGTGAGTTGAACGCACACATCACAAGGTAGTATCTCAGAATGACACTGTCTAGTTTTTATACAAAGATATTTCCATTTCTAAGACTGGCCTCAAATCCCTAGAAATCTCCATTGGAAATTGCACAAACAGAGTGTTTGAAAACTGCTCTTTCTAAAGGAAGGTTCAACTCTGTTAGTTGAATACACACAACACAAACAAGTTACTGAGAATTCTTCTATCTAGCATTATATGAAGAAATCCCGTTTCCAACGAAGGCCTCAAAGAGGTCCAAATATCCTACTGCAGACTTTACAAAGAGAGTGTTTCCAAACTGCTCAATGAAAAGAAAGGTTAAACTCTGTGAGTGGAACGCACACATCACAAAGTAGTTTCTGAGAATGATTTTGTCTAGTTTTCATACGAAGATATTTCCTTTCCTACCATTGTCCTCGAAGAGCTTGAAATCTGCACTAGCAAATTACACAAAAAGAGTGTTTTAAATGTGCTCTCTCTAAAGGAAGGTTCAAATCTCTGAGTTGAATGCACACAACACAAAGAAGTGACTGGGAATTCTTCTGTCTAGCCTTACAGGAGGAAATCCCGTTTCCAACGAAGGCCTCAAAGAGGTCCAAATATCCACTTGCAGACTTTACAAAGACAGCGTTTCCAAACTGCTCTATGAAAAGAAACGTTAAACTCTGTGAGTTGAACGCACACATCACAAACTAGTTTCTGCGAATGATTCTGTGTAGTTTTAATTCGAAGATATTTCCATTTCTAAGATTGGCCTCAAATCCCTTGAAATCTCCACTTGCAAATTCCACAAAAAGAGTGTTTCAAAACTGCTCTGAATAAAGGAAGGGTCAACTCTGTGAGTTGAATGCACACAACAGAAAGTAGTAACTGAGAATTCTTCTGTCGGGCAGTATATGAAGAAATCCCGTTTGCAACGAAGGCCTCACAGAAATCTAAATATCCACTTGCAGACCTTACAGACAGAGTCTTTCCAAACTGCTCTATGAAAAGAAAGGTTAATCTCCGTGAGTTGCACGCACACATCAGAAAGTAATTTCTGAGAATGATTCTCTCTAGTTTTTATACGAAGATATTTCCTTTTCTACCATTGGCCTCAAATCGTTTGAAACCTCCACATGCAAAAGCCACGAGAAGAGCGTTTCAAATCTGCTCTGTCTAAAGAAAGGTTCAAATCTGTGAGTTGAATACACACAACACAAAGTAGTTACTGAAAATGCTTCGGTCTAGCAGTATATGGAGAAATCCCGTTTCCAACGAAGGGCTCAAAGAAGTCCAAATATCCACTTGCAGACTTTACAAAAATAGTGTTTCCAAACTGCTAAATTAAAAGAAAGGTTAAACTCTGTGAGTGGAACGCACACATCACAAAGTAGTTTCTGAGAATGAGTTTGTCTAGTTTTCATACGAAGATATTTCCTTTTCTACCATTGTCCTCGAAGAGCTTGAAATCTGCACTAGCAAATTACACAAAAAGAGTGTTTTAAATGTGCTCTCTCTAAAGGAAGGTTCAAATCTCTGAGTTGAATGCACACAACACAAAGAAGTGACTGGGAATTCTTCTGTCCAGCATTATAGGAGGAAATCCCGTTTCCAACGAAGGCCTCAAAGAGGTCCTAATATCCACTTGCAGACTTTACAAAGACAGCGTTTCCAAACTGCTCTATGAAAAGAAACGTTAAACTCTGTGAGTTGAACACACACATCACAAACTAGTTTCTGCGAGTGATTCTGTGTAGTTTTAATTCGAAGATATTTCCATTTCTAAGATTGGCCTCAAATCCCTTGAAATCTCCACTTGCAAATTCCACAAAAAGAGTGTTTCAAAACTGCTCTGAATAAAGGAAGGTTCAACTCTGTGAGTTGAATGCACACAACTGAAAGTAGTAACTGAGAATTCTTCTGTCGGGCAGTATATGAAGAAATCCCGTTTGCAACGAAGGCCTCACAGAAATCTAAATATCCACTTGCAGACCTTACAGACAGAGTGTTTCCAAACTTCTCTATGAAAAGAAAGGTTAATCTCCGTGAGTTGCACGCACACATCACAAAGTAGATTCTGAGAATGATTCTGTCTAGTTTTTATACGAAGATATTACCTTTTCTACCATTGGCCTCAAATCGCTTGAAATCTTTACTTGCAAAAGCCACGAAAAGAGCGTTTCAAATCTGCTCTGTCTAAAGAAAGGTTCAAATCTGTGAGTTGAATACACACAACACAAAGTAGTTACTGAAAATTCTTCGGGCTAGCAGTATATGGAGAAATCCCGTTTCCAAAGAAGGCCTGAAAGAGGTCCAAATATCCGCTTGCAGACTTTACAAAAAGAGTGTTTCCAAACTGCTCTATGAAAAGAAAGTTTAAAATCTGTGAGTTGAACGCACAAATCACAGAGCAGTTTCTGAGAATTGTTCTGTCTAGTTTTTGTACGAAGATATTTCCTTTTCTACAATTGGCCTCAAATCGCTTGAAATCTCCACTTGCAAAAGCAACGAAAGGAGAGTTTCAAATCTGCTCGGTCTAAAGAAAGGTTCAACTCTGTGAATTGAATACACACAACCCAAAGAAGTTACTGAGAATTCTTCGGTCTAGCAGTATATGAAGAAATCCCGTTTCCAACGAAGGCCTCAAAAAGGTCCAAATATCTGCTTGCAGACTTTACAAAGAGAGTGCTTCCAACCTGCTCTATGAAAAGAAAGGTTAAACTCTGTGAGTTGAACGCACACATCACAAAGAAGTTTCTGAGAATGATTCTGTTTAGTTATTATACGAAGATATTTTCTTTTCTACCATTGGCCTCCAATGACTTGAAATCTCCTCTGGCAAAACCCACGAAAAGAGAGTATCAAATCTGCTCTGTCTAAAGAAAAGTTCAACTCTGTGAGTTGAATACACACAGCACAAAGAAGTTACTGAGTATTCTTCTGTCTAGCATTATGTGAAGAAGTCCCGTTTCCGACGAAGGGCTCAAAGAGCTCCAAATATCCACTTGGAGACTTTACAAAGAGAGCGTTTCCAAACTGCTCTATGAAAAGAAACGTTAAACTCTGTGAGTTGAACGCACACATCACAAACTAGTTTCTGCGAACGATTCTGTGTAGTTTTAATTCGAAGATATTTCCATTTCTAAGATTGGCCTCAAATCCCTTGAAATCTCCACTTGCAAATTCCACAAAAAGAGTGTTTCAAAACTGCTCTGAATAAAGGAAGGTTCAACTCCGTGAGTTGAATGCACACAACACAAAGAGTTACTGAGAATTCTTCTGTCTGTGAGTATATGAAGAAATCCCGTTTGCAACGAAGGCCTCACAGAAATCTAAATATCCACTTGCAGACCTTACAGACAGAGTCTTTCCAAACTGCTCTATGAAAAGAAAGGTTAATCTCCGTGAGTTGCACGCACACATCAGAAAGTAATTTCTCAGAATGATTCTCTCTAGTTTTTATACGAAGATATTTCCTTTTCTACCATTGGCCTCAAATCGTTTGAAACCTCCACATGCAAAAGCCACGAAAAGAGCGTTTCAAATCTGCTCTGTCTAAAGAAAGGTTCAAATCTGTGAGTTGAATACACACAACACAAAGTAGTTACTGAAAATGCTTCGGTCTAGCAGTATATGGAGAAATCCCGTTTCCAACGAAGGGCTCAAAGAAGTCCAAATATCCACTTGCAGACTTTACAAAAATAGTGTTTCCAAACTGCTCAATTAAAAGAAAGGTTAAACTCTGTGAGTGGAACGCACACATCACCAAGTAGTTTCTGAGAATGAGTTTGTCTAGTTTTCATACGAAGATATTTCCTTTTCTACCATTGTCCTCGAAGAGCTTGAAATCTGCACTAGCAAATTACACAAAAAGAGTGTTTCAAATGTGCTCTCTCTAAAGGAAGGTTCAAATCTCTGAGTTGAATGCACACAACACAAAGAAGTGAATGAGAATACTGCTGTCTAGCATTACAGGAAGAAATCCCGTTTCCAAAGAAGGCCTCAAAGAGGTCCAAATATCCACTTGCAGACTTTACAAATAGAGTGTTTCCAAACTGCTCTATGAAAAGAAAGGTTAAACTCTGTGAGTTGAACACACACATCACAAGGTAGTATCTCAGAATGACACTGTCTAGTTTTTATACAAAGATATTTCCATTTCTAAGACTGGCCTCAAATCCGTAGAAATCTCCATTGGAAATTGCACAAACAGAGTGTTTGAAAACTGCTCTTTCTAAAGGAAGGTTCAACTCTGTTGGTTGAATACACACAACACAAACAAGTTACTGAGAATTCTTCTATCTAGCATTATATGAAGAAATCCCGTTTCCAACGAAGGCCTCAAAGAGGTCCAAATATCCTACTGCAGACTTTACAAAGAGAGTGTTTCCAAACTGCTCAATGAAAAGAAAGGTTAAACTCTGTGAGTGGAACGCACACATCACAAAGTAGTTTCTGAGAATGATTTTGTCTAGTTTTAATACGAAGATATTTCCTTTCCTACCATTGTCCTCGAAGAGCTTGAAATCTGCAATAGAAAATTACACAAAAAGAGTGTTTCAAATGTGCTCTCTCTAAAGAAAGGTTCAAATCTCTGAGTTGAATGCACACAACACAAAGAAGTGACTGGGAATTCTTCTGTCTAGCATTATAGGAGGAAATCCCGTTTCCAACGAAGGCCTCAAAGAGGTCCTAATATCCACTTGCAGACTTTACAAAGACAGCGTTTCCAAACTGCTCTATGAAAAGAAACGTTAAACTGTGTGAGTTGAACGCACACATCACAAACTAGTTTCTGCGAATGATTCTGTGTAGTTTTAATTCGAAGATATTTCCATTTCTAAGATTGGCCTCAAATCCCTTGAAATCTCCACTTGCAAATTCCACAAAAAGAGTGTTTCAAAACTGCTCTGAATAAAGGAAGGTTCAACTCTGTGAGTTGAATGCACACAACAGAAAGTAGTAACTGAGAATTCTTCTGTCGGGCAGTATATGAAGAAATCCCGTTTGCAACGAAGGCCTCACAGAAATCTAAATATCCACTTGCAGACCTTACAGACAGAGTGTTTCCAAACTTCTCTATGAAAAGAAAGGTTAATCTCCGTGAGTTGCACGCACACATCACAAAGTAGATTCTGAGAATGATTCTGTCTAGTTTTTATACGAAGATATTTCCTTTTCTACCATTGGCCTCAAATCGCTTGAAACCTTACTTGCAAAAGCCACGAAAAGAGCGTTTCAAATCTGCTCTGTCTAAAGAAAGGTTCAAATCTGTGAGTTGAATACACACAACACAAATTAGTTACTGAAAATTCTTCGGGCTAGCAGTATATGGAGAAATCCCGTTTCCAAAGAAGGCCTGAAAGAGGTCCAAATATCCGCTTGCAGACTTTACAAAAAGAGTGCTTCCAAACTGCTCTATGAAAAGAAAGTTTAAAATCTGTGAGTTGAACGCACAAATCACAGAGCAGTTTCTGAGAATTGTTCTGTCTAGTTTTTATACGAAGATATTTCCTTTTCTACAATTGGCCTCAAATCGCTTGAAATCTCCACTTGCAAAAGCAACGAAAGGAGAGTTTCAAATCTGCTCGGTCTAAAGAAAGGTTCAACTCTGTGAATTGAATACACACAACCCAAAGATGTTACTGAGAATTCTTCGGTCTAGCAGTATATGAAGAAATCCCGTTTCCAACGAAGGCCTCAAAAAGGTCCAAATATCTGCTTGCAGACTTTACAAAGAGAGTGCTTCCAACCTGCTCTATGAAAAGAAAGGTTAAACTCTGTGAGTTGAACGCACACATCACAAAGAAGTTTCTTAGAATGATTCTGTTTAGTTTTTATACGAAGATATTTCCTTTTCTACAATTGGCCTGAAATCGCTTGAAATCTCCTCTGGCAAAAGCCACGAAAAGAGAGTATCAAATCTACTCTGTCTAAAGAAAAGTTCACCTCTGTGAGTTGAATACACACAGCACAAAGAAGTTACTGAGTATTCTTCTGTCTAGAATTATATGAAGAAGTCCCGTTTCCAACGAAGGGCTCAAACAGCTCCAAATATCCACTTGCAGACTTTACAAATAGAGTGTTTCCAAACTGCTCTATGAAAAGAAAGGTTAAACTCTGTGAGTTGAACGCACACATCACAAGGTAGTATCTCAGAATGACACTGTCTAGTTTTTATACAAAGATATTTCCATTTCTAAGACTGGCCTCAAATCCCTGGAAATCTCCATTGGAAATTGCACAAACAGAGTGTTTGAAAACTGCTCTTTCTAAAGGAAGGTTCAACTCTGTTAGTTGAATACACACAACACAAACAAGTTACTGAGAATTCTTCTATCTAGCATTATATGAAGAAATCCCGTTTCCAACGAAGGCCTCAAAGAGGTCCAAATATCCTACTGCAGACTTTACAAAGAGAGTGTTTCCAAACTGCTCAATGAAAAGAAAGGTTAAACTCTGTGAGTGGAACGCACACATCACAAAGTAGTTTCTGAGAATGATTTTGTCTAGTTTTAATACGAAGATATTTCCTTTCCTACCATTGTCCTCGAAGAGCTTGAAATCTGCAATAGAAAATTACACAAAAAGAGTGTTTCAAATGTGCTCTCTCTAAAGAAAGGTTCAAATCTCTGAGTTGAATGCACACAACACAAAGAAGTGACTGGGAATTCTTCTGTCTAGCATTATAGGAGGAAATCCCGTTTCCAACGAAGGCCTCAAAGAGGTCCTAATATCCACTTGCAGACTTTACAAAGACAGCGTTTCCAAACTGCTCTATGAAAAGAAACGTTAAACTCTGTGAGTTGAACGCACACATCACAAACTAGTTTCTGCGAATGATTCTGTGTAGTTTTAATTCGAAGATATTTCCATTTCTTAGATTGGACCCAAATCCCTTGAAATCTCCACTTGCAAATTCCACAAAAAGAGTGTTTCAAAACTGCTCTGAATAAAGGAAGGTTCAACTCTGTGAGTTGAATGCACACAACACAAAGTAGTAACTGAGAATTCTTCTGTCGGGCAGTATATGAAGAAATCCCGTTTGCAACGAAGGCCTCACAGAAATCTAAATATCCACTTGCAGACCTTACAGACAGAGTGTTTCCAAACTTCTCTATGAAAAGAAAGGTTAATCTCCGTGAGTTGCACGCACACATCACAAAGTAGATTCTGAGAATGATTCTGTCTAGTTTTTATACGAATATATTTCCTTTTCTACCATTGGCCTCAAATCGCTTGAAATCTTTACTTGCAAAAGCCACGAAAAGAGCGTTTCAAATCTGCTCTGTCTAAAGAAAGGTTCAAATCTGTGAGTTGAATACACACAACACAAAGTAGTTACTGAAAATGCTTCGGGCTAGCAGTATATGGAGAAATCCCGTTTCCAAAGAAGGCCTGAAAGAGGTCCAAATATCCGCTTGCAGACTTTACAAAAAGAGTGTTTCCAAACTGCTCTATGAAAAGAAAGTTTAAAATCTGTGAGTTGAACGCACAAATCACAGAGCAGTTTCTGAGAATTGTTCTGTCTAGTTTTTATACGAAGATATTTCCTTTTCTACAATTGGCCTCAAATCGCTTGAAATCTCCACTTGCAAAAGCAACAAAAGGAGAGTTTCAAATCTGCTCGGTCTAAAGTAAGGTTCAAATCTGTGAATTGAATACACACAACCCAAAGAAGTTACTGAGAATTCTTCGGTCTAGCAGTATATGAAGAAATCCCGCTTCCAAAGAAGGCCTCAAAAAGGTCCAAATATCTGCTTGCAGACTTTACAAAGAGAGTGCTTCCAACCTGCTCTATGAAAAGAAAGGTTAAACTCTGTGAGTTGAACGCACACATCACAAAGAAGTTTCTGAGAATGATTCTGTTTAGTTATTATACGAAGATATTTTCTTTTCTACCATTGGCCTCCAATGACTTGAAATCTCCTCTGGCAAAACACACGAAAAGAGAGTATCAAATCTGCTCTGTCTAAAGAAAATTTCAACTCTGTGAGTTGAATACACACAGCACAAAGAAGTTACTGAGTATTCTTCTGTCTAGCATTATATGAAGAAGTCCCGTTTCCAACGAAGGGCTCAAAGAGCTCCAAATATCCACTTGGAGACTTTACAAAGAGAGCGTTTCCAAACTGCTCTATGAAAAGAAACAGTTAAACTCTGTGAGTTGAACGCACACATCACAAACTAGTTTCTGCGAACGATTCTGTGTAGTTTTAATTCGAAGATATTTCCATTTCTAAGATTGGCCTCAAATCCCTTGAAATCTCCATTTGCAAATTCCACAAAAAGAGTGTTTCAAAACTGCTCTGAATAAAGGAAGGTTCAACTCTGTGTGTTGAATTTACACAACACAAAGTAGTTACTGAGAATTGTTCTGTCTGTGAGTATATGAAGAAATCCCGTTTGCAACGAAGGCCTCACAGAAATCTAAATATCGACTTGCAGACCTTACAGACAGAGTCTTTCCAAACTGCTCTATGAAAGGAAAGGTTAATCTCCGTGAGTTGCACGCACACATCAGAAAGTAATTTCTGAGAATGATTCTCTCTAGTTTTTATACGAAGATATTTCCTTTTCTACCATTGGCCTCAAATCGTTTGAAACCTCCACATGCAAAAGCCACGAAAAGAGCGTTTCAAATCTGCTCTGTCTAAAGAAAGGTTCAAATCTGTGAGTTGAATACACACAACACAAAGTAGTTACTGAAAATGCTTCAGTCTAGCAGTATATGGAGAAATCCCGTTTCCAACGAAGGGCTCAAAGAAGTCCAAATATCCACTTGCAGACTTTACAAAAATAGTGTTTCCAAACTGCTCAATTAAAAGAAAGGTTAAACTCTGTGAGTGGAACGCACACATCACAAAGTAGTTTCTGAGAATGAGTTTGTCTAGTTTTCATACGAAGATATTTCCTTTTCTACCATTGTCCTCGAAGAGCTTGAAATCTGCACTAGCAAATTACACAAAAAGAGTGTTTCAAATGTGCTCTCTCTAAAGGAAGGTTCAAATCTCTGAGTTGAATGCACACAACACAAAGAAGTGAGTGAGAATACTTCTGTCTAGCATTATAGGAAGAAATCCCGTTTCCAACGAAGGCCTCAAAGAGGTCCAAATATCCACTTGCAGACTTTACAAATAGAGTGTTTCCAAACTGCTCTATGAAAAGAAAGGTTAAACTCTGTGAGTTGAACGCACACATCACAAGGTAGTATCTCAGAATGACACTGTCTAGTTTTTATACAAAGATATTTCCATTTCTAAGACTGGCCTCAAATCCCTAGAAATCTCCATTGGAAATTGCACAAACAGAGTGTTTCAAAACTGCTCTTTCTAAAGGAAGGTTCAACTCTGTTAGTTGAATACACACAACACAAACAAGTTACTGAGAATTCTTCTATCTAGCATTATATGAAGAAATCCCGTTTCCAACGAAGGCCTCAAAGAGGTCCAAATATCCTACTGCAGACTTTACAAAGAGAGTGTTTCCAAACTGCTCAATTAAAAGAAAGGTTAAAGTCTGTGAGTGGAACGCACACATCACAAAGTAGTTTCTGAGAATGATTTTGTCTAGTTTTAATACAAAGATATTTCCTTTCCTACCATTGTCCTCGAAGAGCTTGAAATCTGCACTAGCAAATTACACAAAAAGAGTGTTTCAAATGTGCTCTCTCTAAAGGAAGGTTCAAATCTCTGAGTTGAATGCACACAACACAAAGAAGTGACTGGGAATTCTTCTGTCTAGCATTATAGGAGGAAATCCCGTTTCCAACGAAGGCCTCAAAGAGGTCCTAATATCCACTTGCAGACTTTACAAAGACAGCGTTTCCAAACTGCTCTATGAAAAGAAACGTTAAACTCTGTGAGTTGAACGCACACATCACAAACTAGTTTCTGCGAATGATTCTGTGTAGTTTTAATTCGAAGATATTTCCATTTCTAAGATTGGCCTCAAATCCCTTGAAATCTCCACTTGCAAATTCCACAAAAAGAGTGTTTCAAAACTGCTCTGAATATAGGAAGGTTCAACTCTGTGAGTTGAATGCACACAACAGAAAGTAGTAACAGAATTCTTCTGTCGGGCAGTATATGAAGAAATCCCGTTTGCAACGAAGGCCTCACAGAAATCTAAATATCCACTTGCAGACCTTACAGACAGAGTGTTTCCAAACTTCTCTATGAAAAGAAAGGTTAATCTCCGTGAGTTGCACGCACACATCACAAAGTAGATTCTGAGAACGATTCTGTCTAGTTTTTATACGAAGATATTTCCTTTTCTACCATTGGCCTCAAATCACTTGAAATCTTTACTTGCAAAAGCCACAAAAAGAGCGTTTCAAAACTGCTCTGTCTAAAGAAAGGTTCAAATCTGTGAGTTGAATACACACAACACAAAGTACTTACTGAAAATTCTTCGGGCTAGCAGTATATGGAGAAATCCCGTTTCCAAAGAAGGCCTGAAAGAGGTCCAAATATCCGCTTGCAGACTTTACAAAAAGAGTGTTTCCAAACTGCTCTATGAAAAGAAAGTTTAAAATCTGTGAGTTGAACGCACAAATCACAGAGCAGTTTCTGAGAATTGTTCTGTCTAGTTTTTATACGAAGATATTTCCTTTTCTACAATTGGCCTCAAATCGCTTGAAATCTCCACTTGCAAAAGCAACGAAAGGAGAGTTTCAAATCTGCTCGGTCTAAAGAAAGGTTCAACTCTGTGAATTGAATACACACAACCCAAAGAAGTTACTGAGAATTCTTCGGTCTAGCAGTATATGAAGAAATCCCGTTTCCAACGAAGGCCTCGAAAAGGTCCAAATATCTGCTTGCAGACTTTACAAAGAGAGTGCTTCCAACCTGCTCTATGAAAAGAAAGGTTAAACTCTGTGAGTTGAACGCACACATCACAAAGAAGTTTCTGAGAATGATTCTGTTTAGTTATTATACGAAGATATTTTCTTTTCTACCATTGGCCTCCAATGACTTGAAATCTCCTCTGGCAAAAGCCACGAAAAGAGAGTATCAAATCTGCTCTGTCTAAAGAAAAGTTCAACTCTGTGAGTTGAATACACACAGCACAAAGAAGTTACTGAGTATTCTTCTGTCTAGCATTATATGAAGAAGTCCCGTTTCCAACGAAGGGCTCAAACAGCTCCAAATATCCACTTGGAGACTTTACAAAGAGAGCGTTTCCAAACTGCTCTATGAAAAGAAACGTTAAACTCTGTGAGTGGAACGCACACATCACAAACTAGTTTCTGCGAACGATTCTGTGTAGTTTTAATTCGAAGATATTTCCATTTCTAAGATTGGCCTCAAATCCCTTGAAATCTCCACTTGCAAATTCCACAAAAAGAGTGTTTCAAAACTGCTCCGAATAAAGGAAGGTTCAACTCCGTGAGTTGAATGCACACAACACAAATAGTTACTGAGAATTCTTCTGTCTGTGAGTATATGAAGAAATCCCATTTGCAACGAAGGCCTCACAGAAATCTAAATATCCACTTGCAGACCTTACAGACAGAGTCTTTCCAAACTGCTCTATGAAAAGAAAGGTTAATCTCCGTGAGTTGCACGCACACATCAGAAAGTAATTTCTGAGAATGATTCTCTCTAGTTTTTATACGAAGATATTTCCTTTTCTACCATTGGCCTCAAATCGTTTGAAACCTCCACATGCAAAAGCCACGAAAAGAGCGTTTCAAATCTGCTCTGTCTAAAGAAAGGTTCAAATCTGTGAGTTGAATACACACAACACAAAGTAGTTACTGAAAATGCTTCGGTCTAGCAGTATATGGAGAAATCCCGTTTCCAACGAAGGGCTCAAAGAAGTCCAAATATCCACTTGCAGACTTTACAAAAATAGTGTTTCCAAACTGCTCAATTAAAAGAAAGGTTAAACTCTGTGAGTGGAACGCACACATCACAAAGTAGTTTCTGAGAATGAGTTTGTCTAGTTTTCATACGAAGATATTTCCTTTTCTACCATTGTCCTCGAAGAGCTTGAAATCTGCACTAGCAAATTACACAAAAAGAGTGTTTCAAATGTGCTCTCTCTGAAGGAAGGTTCAAATCTCTGAGTTGAATGCACACAACACAAAGAAGTGACTGAGAATACTTCTGTCTAGCATTATAGGAAGAAATCCCGTTTCCAACGAAGGCCTCAAAGAGGTCCAAATATCCACTTGCAGACTTTACAAATAGAGTGTTTCCAAACTGCTCTATGAAAAGAAAGGTTAAACTCTGTGAGTTGAACGCACATATCACAAGGTAGTATCTCAGAATGACACTGTCTAGTTTTTATACAAAGATATTTCCATTTCTAAGACTGGCCTCAAATCCCTAGAAATCTCCATTGGAAATTGCACAAACAGAGTGTTTGAAAACTGCTCTTTCTAAAGGAAGGTTCAACTCTGTTAGTTGAATACACACAACACAAACAAGTTACTGAGAACTCTTCTATCTAGCATTATATGAAGAAATCCCGTTTCAAACGAAGGCCTCAAAGAGGTCCAAATATCCTACTGCAGGCTATCAAAGAGAGTGTTTCCAAACTGCTCAATTAAAAGAAAGGTTAAACTCTGTGAGTGGAACGCACACATCACAAAGTAGTTTCTGAGAATGATTTTGTCTAGTTTTAATGCGAAGATATTTCCTTTCCTACCATTGTCCTCGAAGAGCTTGAAATCTGCACTAGCAAATTACACAAAAAGAGAGTTTTAAATGTGCTCTCTCTAAAGGAAGGTTCAAATCTCTGAGTTGAATGCACACAACACAAAGAAGTGACTGGGAATTCTTCTGTCTAGCATTATAGGAGGAAATCCCGTTTCCAACGAAGGCCTCAAAGAGGTCCTAATATCCACTTGCAGACTTTACAAAGACAGCGTTTCCAAACTGCTCTATGAAAAGAAACGTTAAACTCTGTGAGTTGAACGCACACATCACAAACTAGTTTCTGCGAATGATTCTGTGTAGTTTTAATTCGAAGATATTTACATTTCTAAGATTGGCCTCAAATCCCTTGAAATCTCCACTTGCAAATTCCACAAAAAGAGTGTTTCAAAACTGCTCTGAATAAAGGAAGATTCAACTCTGTGAGTTGAATGCACACAACAGAAAGTAGTAACTGAGAATTCTTCTGTCGGGCAGTATATGAAGAAATCCCGTTTGCAACGAAGGCCTCACAGAAATCTAAATATCCACTTGCAGACCTTACAGACAGAGTGTTTCCAAACTTCTCTATGAAAAGAAAGGTTAATCTCCGTGAGTTGCATGCACACATCACAAAGTAGATTCTGAGAATGATTCTGTCTAGTTTTTATACGAAGATATTTCCTTTTCTACCATTGGCCTCAAATCGCTTGAAATCTTTACTTGCAAAAGCCACGAAAAGAGCGTTTCAAATCTGCTCTGTCTAAAGAAAGGTTCAAATCTGTGAGTTGAATACACACAACACAAAGTAGTTACTGAAAATGCTTCGGGCTAGCAGTATATGGAGAAATCCCGTTTCCAAAGAAGGCCTGAAAGAGGTCCAAATATCCGCTTGCAGACTTTACAAAAAGAGTGTTTCCAAACTGCTCTATGAAAAGAAAGTTTAAAATCTGTGAGTTGAACGCACAAATCACAGAGCAGTTTCTGAGAATTGTTCTGTCTAGTTTTTATACGAAGATATTTCCTTTTCTACAATTGGCCTCAAATCGCTTGAAATCTCCACTTGCAAAAGCAACGAAAGGAGAGTTTCAAATCTGCTCGGTCTAAAGAAAGGTTCAACTCTGTGAATTCAATACACACAACCCAAAGAAGTTACTGAGAATTCTTCGGTCTAGCAGTATATGAAGAAATCCCGTTTCCAACGAAGGCCTCAAAAAGGTCCAAATATCTGCTTGCAGACTTTACAAAGAGAGTGCTTCCAACCTGCTCTATGAAAAGAAAGGTTAAACTCTGTGAGTTGAACGCACACATCACAAAGAAGTTTCTGAGAATGATTCTGTTTAGTTATTATACGAAGATATTTTCTTTTCTACCATTAGCCTCCAATGACTTGAAATCTCCTCTGGCAAAAGCCACGAAAAGAGAGTATCAAATCTGCTCTGTCTAAAGAAAAGTTCAACTCTGTGAGTTGAATACACACAGCACAAAGAAGTTACTGAGTATTCTTCTGTCTAGCATTATATGAAGAAGTCCCGTTTCCAACGAAGGGCTCAAACAGCTCCAAATATCCACTTGGAGACTTTACAAAGAGAGCGTTTCCAAACTGCTCTATGAAAAGAAACGTTAAACTACTGTGAGTTGAACGCACACATCACAAACTAGTTTCTGCGAACGATTCTGTGTAGTTTTAATTCGAAGATATTTCCATTTCTAAGATTGGCCTCAAATCCCTTGAAATCTCCACTTGCAAATTCCACAAAAAGAGTGTTTCAAAACTGCTCTGAATAAAGGAAGGTTCAACTCCGTGAGTTGAATGCACACAACACAAAGAGTTACTGAGAATTCTTCTGTCTGTGAGTATATGAAGAAATCCCGTTTGCAACGAAGGCCTCACAGAAATCTAAATATCCACTTGCAGACCTTACAGACAGAGTCTTTCCAAACTGCTCTATGAAAAGAAAGGTTAATCTCCGTGAGTTGCACGCACACATCAGAAAGTAATTTCTGAGAATGATTCTCTCTAGTTTTTATACGAACATATTTCCTTTTCTACCATTGGCCTCAAATCGTTTGAAACCTCCACATGCAAAAGCCACGAAAAGAGCGTTTCAAATCTGCTCTGTCTAAAGAAAGGTTCAAATCTGTGAGTTGAATACACACAACACAAAGTAGTTACTGAAAATGCTTCTGTTTAGCATTATATGAAGAAGTCCCCTTTCCAACGAAGGGCTCAAAGAAGTCCAAATATCCACTTGCAGACTTTACAAAAATAGTGTTTCCAAACAGCTCAATTAAAAGAAAGGTTAAACTCTGTGAGTGGAACGCACACATCACAAAGTAGTTTCTGAGAATGAGTTTGTCTAGTTTTCATACGAAGATATTTCCTTTTCTACCATTGTCCTCGAAGAGCTTGAAATCTGCACTAGCAAATTACACAAAAAGAGTGTTTCAAATGTGCTCTCTCTAAAGGAAGGTTCAAATCTCTGAGTTGAATGCACACAACACAAAGAAGTGACTGAGAATACTTCTGTCTAGCATTATAGGAAGAAATCCCGTTTCCAACGAAGGCCTCAAAGAGGTCCAAATATCCACTTGCAGACTTTACAAATAGAGTGTTTCCAAACTGCTCTATGAATAGAAAGGTTAAACTCTGTGAGTTGAACGCACACATCACAAGGTAGTATCTCAGAATGACACTGTCTAGTTTTTATACAAAGATATTTCCATTTCTAAGACTGGCCTCAAATCCCTAGAAATCTCCATTGGAAATTGCACAAACAGAGTGTTTGAAAACTGCTCTTTCTAAAGGAAGGTTCAACTCTGTTAGTTGAATACAAACAACACAAACAAGTTACTGAGAATTCTTCTATCTAGCATTATATGAAGAAATCTCGTTTCCAACGAAGGCCTCAAAGAGGTCCAAATATCCTACTGCAGACTTTACAAAGAGAGTGTTTCCAAACTGCTCAATTAAAAGAAAGGTTAAACTCTGTGAGTGGAACGCACACATCACAAAGTAGTTTCTGAGAATGAGTTTGTCTAGTTTTCATACGAAGATATTTCCTTTCCTACCATTGTCCTCGAAGAGCTTGAAATCTGCACTAGCAAATTACACAAAAAGAGTGTTTTAAATGTGCTCTCTCTAAAGGAAGGTTCAAATCTCTGAGTTGAATGCACACAACACAAAGAAGTGACTGGGAATTCTTCTGTCTAGCATTATAGGAGGAAATCCCGTTTCCAACGAAGGCCTCAAAGAGGTCCTAATATCCACTTGCAGACTTTAGAAAGACAGCGTTTCCAAACTGCTCTATGAAAAGAAACGTTAAACTCTGTGAGTTGAACGCACACATCACAAACTAGTTTCTGCGAATGATTCTGTGTAGTTTTAATTCGAAGATATTTCCATTTCTAAGATTGGCCTCAAATCCCTTGAAATCTCCACTTGCAAATTCCACAAAAAGAGTGTCTCAAAACTGCTCTGAATAAAGGAAGGTTCAACTCTGTGAGTTGAATGCACAAAACAGAAAGTAGTAACTGAGAATTCTTCTGTCGGGCAGTATATGAAGAAATCCCGTTTGCAACGAAGGCCTCACAGAAATCTAAATATCCACTTGCAGACCTTACAGACAGAGTGTTTCCAAACTTCTCTATGAAAAGAAAGGTTAATCTCCGTGAGTTGCACGCACACATCACAAAGTAGATTCTGAGAATGATTCTGTCTAGTTTTTATACGAAGATATTTCCTTTTCTACCATTGGCCTCAAATCGCTTGAAATCTTTACTTGCAAAAGCCACGAAAAGAGCGTTTCAAATCTGCTCTGTCTAAAGAAAGGTTCAAATCTGTGAGTTGAATACACACAACACAAAGTAGTTACTGAAAATTCTTCGGGCTAGCAGTATATGGAGAAATCCCGTTTCCAAAGAAGGCCTGAAAGAGGTCCAAATATCCGCTTGCAGACTTTACAAAAAGAGTGTTTCCAAACTGCTCTATGAAAAGAAAGTTTAAAATCTGTGAGTTGAACGCACAAATCACAGAGCAGTTTCTGAGAATTGTTCTGTCTAGTTTTTATACGAAGATATTTCCTTTTCTACAATTGGCCTCAAATCGCTTGAAATCTCCACTTGCAAAAGCAACGAAAGGAGAGTTTCAAATCTGCTCGGTCTAAAGAAAGGTTCAACTCTGTGAATTGAATACACACAACCCAAAGAAGTTACTGAGAATTCTTCGGTCTAGCAGTATATGAAGAAATCCCGTTTCCAACGAAGGCCTCAAAAAGGTCCAAATATCTGCTTGCAGACTTTACAAAGAGAGTGCTTCCAACCTGCTCTATGAAAAGAAAGGTTAAACTCTGTGAGTTGAACGCACACATCACAAAGAAGTTTCTGAGAATGATTCTGTTTAGTTACTATACGAAGATATTTTCTTTTCTACCATTGACCTCCAATGTCTTGAAATCTCCTCTGGCAAAAGCCACGAAAAGAGAGTATCAAATCTGCTCTGTCTAAAGAAAAGTTCAACTCTGTGAGTTGAATACACACAGCACAAAGAAGTTACTGAGTACTCTTCTGTCTAGCATTATATGAAGAAGTCCCGTTTCCAACGAAGGGCTCAAAGAGCTCCAAATATCCACTTGGAGACTTTACAAAGAGAGCGTTTCCAAACTGCTCTATGGAAAGAAACGTTAAACTCTGTGAGTTGAACGCACACATCACAAACTAGTTTCTGCGAACGATTCTGTGTAGTTTTAATTCGAAGATATTTCCATTTCTAAGATTGGCCTCAAATCCCTTGAAATCTCCACTTGCAAATTCCACAAAAAGAGTGTTTCAAAACTGCTCTGAATAAAGGAAGGTTCAACTCCGTGAGTTGAATGCACACAACACAAAGAGTTACTGAGAATTCTTCTGTCTGTGAGTATATGAAGAAATCCCGTTTGCAACGAAGGCCTCACAGAAATCTAAATATCCACTTGCAGACCTTACAGACAGAGTCTTTCCAAACTGCTCTATGAAAAGAAAGGTTAATCTCCGTGAGTTGCACGCACACATCAGAAAGTAATTTCTGAGAATGATTCTCTCTAGTTTTTATACGAAGATATTTCCTTTTCTACCATTGGCCTCAAATCGTTTGAAACCTCCACATGCAAAAGCCACGAAAAGAGCGTTTCAAATCTGCTCTGTCTAAAGAAAGGTTCAAATCTGTGAGTTGAATACACACAACACAAAGTAGTTACTGAAAATGCTTCGGTCTAGCAGTATATGGAGAAATCCCGTTTCCAACGAAGGGCTCAAAGAAGTCCAAATATCCACTTGCAGAGTTTACAAAAATAGTGTTTCCAAACTGCTCAATTAAAAGAAAGGTTAAACTCTGTGAGTGGAACGCACACATCACAAAGTAGTTTCTGAGAATGAGTTTGTCTAGTTTTCATACGAAGATATTGCCTTTTCTACCATTGTCCTCGAAGAGCTTGAAATCTGCACTAGCAAAATACACAAAAAGAGTGTTTCAAATGTGCTCTCTCTAAAGGAAGGTTCAAATCTCTGAGTTGAATGCACACAACACAAAGAAGTGACTGAGAATACTTCTGTCTAGCATTATAGGAAGAAATCCCGTTTCCAACGAAGGCCTCAAAGAGGTCCAAATATCCACTTGCAGACTTTACAAATAGAGTGTTTCCAAACTGCTCTATGAAAAGAAAGGTTAAACTCTGTGAGTTGAACGCACACATCACAAGGTAGTATCTCAGAATGACACTGTCTAGTTTTTATACAAAGATATTTCCATTTCTAAGACTGGCCTCAAATCCCTAGAAATCTCCATTGGAAATTGCACAAACAGAGTGTTTGAAAACTGCTCTTTCTAAAGGAAGGTTCAACTCTGTTAGTTGAATACACACAACACAAACAAGTTACTGAGAACTCTTCTATCTAGCATTATATGAAGAAATCCCGTTTCCAACGAAGGCCTCAAAGAGGTCCAAATATCCTACTGCAGACTTTACAAAGAGAGTGTTTCCAAACTGCTCAATTAAAAGAAAGGTTAAAGTCTGTGAGTGGAACGCACACATCACAAAGTAGTTTCTGAGAATGATTTTGTCTAGTTTTAATACAAAGATATTTCCTTTCCTACCATTGTCCTCGAAGAGCTTGAAATCTGCACTAGCAAATTACACAAAAAGAGTGTTTCAAATGTGCTCTCTCTAAAGGAAGGTTCAAATCTCTGAGTTGAATGCACACAACACAAAGAAGTGACTGGGAATTCTTCTGTCTAGCATTATAGGAGGAAATCCCGTTTCCAACGAAGGCCTCAAAGAGGTCCTAATATCCACTTGCAGACTTTACAAAGACAGCGTTTCCAAACTGCTCTATGAAAAGAAACGTTAAACTCTGTGAGTTGAACGCACACATCACAAACTAGTTTCTGCGAATGATTCTGTGTAGTTTTAATTCGAAGATATTTCCATTTCTAAGATTGGCCTCAAATCCCTTGAAATCTTCACTTGCAAATTCCACAAAAAGAGTGTTTCAAAACTGCTCTGAATATAGGAAGGTTCAACTCTGTGAGTTGAATGCACACAACAGAAAGTAGTAACAGAATTCTTCTGTCGGGCAGTATATGAAGAAATCCCGTTTGCAACGAAGGCCTCACAGAAATCTAAATTTCCACTTGCAGACCTTACAGACAGAGTGTTTCCAAACTTCTCTATGAAAAGAAAGGTTAATCTCCGTGAGTTGCACGCACACATCACAAATTAGATTCTGAGAATGATTCTGTCTAGTTTTTATACGAAGATATTTCCTTTTCTACCATTGGCCTCAAATCGCTTGAAATCTTTACTTGCAAAAGCCACGAAAAGAGCATTTCAAATCTGCTCTGTCTAAAGAAAGGTTCAAATCTGTGAGTTGAATACACACAACACAAAGTAGTTACTGAAAATTCTTCGGGCTAGCAGTATATGGAGAAATCCCGTTTCCAAAGAAGGCCTGAAAGAGGTCCAAATATCCGCTTGCAGACTTTACAAAAAGAGTGTTTCCAAACTGCTCTATGAAAAGAAAGTTTAAAATCTGTGAGTTGAACGCACAAATCACAGAGCAGTTTCTGAGAATTGTTCTGTCTAGTTTTTGTACGAAGATATTTCCTTTTCTACAATTGGCCTCAAATCGCTTGAAATCTCCACTTGCAAAAGCAACGAAAGGAGAGTTTCAAATCTGCTCGGTCTAAAGAAAGGTTCAACTCTGTGAATTGAATACACACAACCCAAAGAAGTTACTGAGAATTCTTCGGTCTAGCAGTATATGAAGAAATCCCGTTTCCAACGAAGGCCTCAAAAAGGTCCAAATATCTGCTTGCAGACTTTACCAAGAGAGTGCTTCCAACCTGCTCTATGAAAAGAAAGGTTAAACTCTGTGAGTTGAACGCACACATCACAAAGAAGTTTCTGAGAATGATTCTGTTTAGTTATTATACGAAGATATTTTCTTTTCTACCATTGGCCTCCAATGACTTGAAATCTCCTCTGGCAAAACCCATGAAAAGAGAGTATCAAATCTGCTCTGTCTAAAGAAAAGTTCAACTCTGTGAGTTGAATACACACAGCACAAAGAAGTTACTGAGTATTCTTCTGTCTAGCATTATATGAAGAAGTCCCGTTTCCAACGAAGGGCTCAAAGAGCTCCAAATATCCACTTGGAGACTTTACAAAGAGAGCGTTTCCAAACTGCTCTATGAAAAGAAACGTTAAACTCTGTGAGTTGAACGCACACATCACAAACTAGTTTCTGCGAACGATTCTGTGTAGTTTTAATTCGAAGATATTTCCATTTCTAAGATTGGCCTCAAATCCCTTGAAATCTCCACTTGCAAATTCCACAAAAAGAGTGTTTCAAAACTGCTCTGAATAAAGGAAGGTTCAACTCTGTGAGTTGAATGCACACAACACAAAGTAGTTACTGAGAATTCTTCTGTCTGTGAGTATATGAAGAAATCCCATTTGCAACGAAGGCCTCACAGAAATCTAAATATCCACTTGCAGACCTTACAGACAGAGTCTTTCCAAACTGCTCTATGAAAAGAAAGGTTAATCTCCGTGAGTTGCACGCACACATCAGAAAGTAATTTCTGAGAATGATTCTCTCTAGTTTTTATACGAAGATATTTCCTTTTCTACCATTGGCCTCAAATCGTTTGAAACCTCCACATGCAAAAGCCACGAAAAGAGCGTTTCAAATCTGCTCTGTCTAAAGAAAGGTTCAAATCTGTGAGTTGAATACACACAACACAAAGTAGTTACTGAAAATGCTTCGATCTAGCAGTATATGGAGAAATCCCGTTTCCAACGAAGGGCTCAAAGAAGTCCAAATATCCACTTGCAGACTTTACAAAAATAGTGTTTCCAAACTGCTCAATTAAAAGAAAGGTTAAACTCTGTGAGTGGAACGCACACATCACAAAGTAGTTTCTGAGAATGAGTTTGTCTCGTTTTCATACGAAGATATTTCCTTTTCTACCATTGTCCTTGAAGAGCTTGAAATCTGTACTAGCAAATTACACAAATAGAGTGTTTCAAATGTGCTCTCTCTAAAGGAAGGTTCAAATCTCTGAGTTGAATGCACACAACACAAAGAAGTGACTGAGAATACTTCTGTCTAGCATTATAGGAAGAAATCCCGTTTCCAACGAAGGCCTCAAAGAGGTCCAAATATCCACTTGCAGACTTTACAAATAGAGTGTTTCCAAACTGCTCTATGAAAAGAAAGGTTAAACTCTGTGAGTTGAACGCACACATCACAAGGTAGTATCTCAGAATGACACTGTCTAGTTTTTATACAAAGATATTTCCATTTCTAAGACTGGCCTCAAATCCCTAGAAATCTCCATTGGAAACTGCACAAACAGAGTGTTTGAAAACTGCTCTTTCTAAAGGAAGGTTCAACTCTGTTAGTTGAATACACACAACACAAACAAGTTACTGAGAATTCTTCTATCTAGCATTATATGAAGAAATCCCGTTTCCAACGAAGGCCTCAAAGAGGTCCAAATATCCTACTGCAGACTTTACAAAGAGAGTGTTTCCAAACTGCTCAATTAAAAGAAAGGTTAAAGTCTGTGAGTGGAACGCACACATCACAAAGTAGTTTCTGAGAATGATTTTGTCTAGTTTTAATACAAAGATATTTCCTTTCCTACCATTGTCCTCGAAGAGCTTGAAATCTGCACTAGCAAATTACACAAAAAGAGTGTTTCAAATGTGCTCTCTCTAAAGGAAGGTTCAAATCTCTGAGTTGAATGCACACAACACAAAGAAGTGACTGGGAATTCTTCTGTCTAGCATTATAGGAGGAAATCCCGTTTCCAACGAAGGCCTCAAAGAGGTCCTAATATCCACTTGCAGACTTTACAAAGACAGCGTTTCCAAACTGCTCTATGAAAAGAAACGTTAAACTCTGTGAGTTGAACGCACACATCACAAACTAGTTTCTGCGAATGATTCTGTGTAGTTTTAATTCGATGATATTTCCATTTCTAAGATTGGCCTCAAATCCCTTGAAATCTCCACTTGCAAATTCCACAAAAAGAGTGTTTCAAAACTGCTCTGAATAAAGGAAGGTTCAACTCTTTGAGTTGAATGCACACAACAGAAAGTAGTAACTGAGAATTCTTCTGTCGGGCAGTATATGAAGAAATCCCGTTTGCAACGAAGGCCTCACAGAAATCTAAATATCCACTTGCAGACCTTACAGACAGAGTGTTTCCAAACTTCTCTATGAAAAGAAAGGTTAATCTCCGTGAGTTGCACGCACACATCACAAAGTAGATTCTGAGAATGATTCTCTCTAGTTTTTACACGAAGATATTTCCTTTTCTACTATTGGCCTCAAATCGCTTGAAATCTTTACTTGCAAAAGCCACGAAAAGAGCGTTTCAAATCTGCTCTGTCTAAGGAAAGGTTCAAATCTGTGAGTTAAATACACACAACACAAAGTAGTTACTGAAAATGCTTCGGGCTAGCAGTATATGGAGAAATCCCGTTTCCAAAGAAGGCCTGAAAGAAGTCCAAATATCCGCTTGCAGACTTTACAAAAAGAGTGTTTCCAAACTGCTCTATGAAAAGAAAGTTTAAAATCTGTGAGTTGAACGCACAAATCACAGAGCAGTTTCTGAGAAATTTTCTGTCTAGTTTTTATACGAAGATATTTCCTTTTCTACAATTGGCCTCAAATCGCTTGAAATCTCCACTTGCAAAAGCAACGAAAGGAGAGTTTCAAATCTGCTCGGTCTAAAGAAAGGTTCAACTCTGTGAATTGAATACACACAACCCAAAGAAGTTACTGAGAATTCTTTGGTCTAGCAGTATATGAAGAAATCTCGTTTCCAACGAAGGCCTCAAAAAGGTCCAAATATCTGCTTGCAGACTTTACAAAGAGAGTGCTTCCAACCTGCTCTATGAAAAGAAAGGTTAAACTCTGTGAGTTGAACGCACACATCACAAAGAAGCTTCTGAGAATGATTCTGTTTAGTTATTATACGAAGATATTTTCTTTTCTACCATTGGCCTCCAATGACTTGAAATCTCCTCTGGCAATAGCCACGAAAAGAGAGTATCAAATCTGCTCTGTCTAAAGAAAAGTTCAACTCTGTGAGTTGAATACACACAGCACAAAGAAGTTACTGAGTATTCTTCTGTCTAGCATTATATGAAGAAGTCCCGTTTCCAACGAAGGGCTCAAACAGCTCCAAATATCCACTTGGAGAATTTACAAAGAGAGCGTTTCCAAACTGCTCTATGAAAAGAAACGTTAAACTCTGTGAGTTGAACGCACACATCACAAACTAGTTTCTGCGAACGATTCTGTGTAGTTTTAATTCGAAGATATTTCCATTTCTAAGATTGGCCTCAAATCCCTTGAAATCTCCACTTGCAAATTCCACAAAAAGAGTGTTTCAAAACTGCTCTGAATAAAGGAAGGTTCAACTCCGTGAGTTGAATGCACACAACACAAAGAGTTACTGAGAATTCTTCTGTCTGTGAGTATATGAAGAAATCCCGTTTGCAACGAAGGCCTCACAGGAAATCTAAATATCCACTTGCAGACCTTACAGACAGAGTCTTTCCAAACTGCTCTATGAAAAGAAAGGTTAATCTCCGTGAGTTGCACGCACACATCAGAAAGTAATTTCTGAGAATGATTCTCTCTAGTTTTTATACGAAGATATTTCCTTTTCTACCATTGGCCTCAAATCGTTTGAAACCTCCACATGCAAAAGCCACGAAAAGAGCGTTTCAAATCTGCTCTGTCTAAAGAAAGGTTCAAATCTGTGAGTTGAATACACACAACACAAAGTAGTTACTGAAAATGCTTCGGTCTAGCAGTATATGGAGAAATCCCGTTTCCAACGAAGGGCTCAAAGAAGTCCAAATATCCACTTGCAGACTTTACAAAAATAGTGTTTCCAAACTGCTCAATTAAAAGAAAGGTTAAACTCTGTGAGTGGAACGCACACATCACAAAGTAGTTTCTGAGAATGAGTTTGTCTAGTTTTCATACGAAGATATTGCCTTTTCTACCATTGTCCTCGAAGAGCTTGAAATCTGCACTAGCAAATTACACAAAAAGAGTGTTTCAAATGTGCTCTCTCTAAAGGAAGTTTCAAATCTCTGAGTTGAATGCACACAACACAAAGAAGTGACTGAGAATACTTCTGTCTAGCATTACAGGAAGAAATCCCGTTTCCAACGAAGGCCTCAAAGAGGTCCAAATATCCACTTGCAGACTTTACAAATAGAGTGTTTCCAAACTGCTCTATGAAAAGAAAGGTTAAACTCTGTGAGTTGAACGCACACATCACAAGGTACTATCTCAGAATGACACTGTCTAGTTTTTATACAAAGATATTTCCATTTCTAAGACTGGCCTCAAATCCCTAGAAATCTCCATTGGAAATTGCACAAACAGAGTGTTTGAAAACTGCTCTTTCTAAAGGAAGGTTCAACTCTGTTAGTTGAATACACACAACACAAACAAGTTACTGAGAATTCTTCTATCTAGCATTATATGAAGAAATCCCGTTTCCAACGAAGGCCTCAAAGAGGTCCAAATATCCTACTGCAGACTTTACAAAGAGAGTGTTTCCAAACTGCTCAATTAAAAGAAAGGTTAAAGTCTGTGAGTGGAACGCACACATCACAAAGTAGTTTCTGAGAATGATTTTGTCTAGTTTTAATACAAAGATATTTCCTTTCCTACCATTGTCCTCGAAGAGCTTGAAATCTGCACTAGCAAATTACACAAAAAGAGTGTTTCAAATGTGCTCTCTCTAAAGGAAGGTTCAAATCTCTGAGTTGAATGCACACAACACAAAGAAGTGACTGGGAATTCTTCTGTCTAGCATTATAGGAGGAAATCCCGTTTCCAAAGAAGGCCTCAAAGAGGTCCTAATATCCACTTGCAGACTTTACAAAGACAGCGTTTCCAAACTGCTCTATGAAAAGAAACGTTAAACTCTGTGAGTTGAACGCACACATCACAAACTAGTTTCTGCGAATGATTCTGTGTAGTTTTAATTCGAAGATATTTCCATTTCTAAGATTGGCCTCAAATCCCTTGAAATCTCCACTTGCAAATTCCACAAAAAGTGTGTTTCAAAACTGCTCTGAATAAAGGAAGGTTCAACACTGTGAGTTGAATGCACACAACACAAATTAGTTACTGAGAATTCTTCTGTCGGGCAGTATATGAAGAAATCCCGTTTGCAACGAAGGCCTCACAGAAATCTAAATATCCACTTGCAGACCTTACAGACAGAGTGTTTCCAAACTTCTCTATGAAAAGAAAGGTTAATCTCCGTGAGTTGCACGCACACATCACAAAGTAGATTCTGAGAATGATTCTGTCTAGTTTTTATACGAAGATATTTCCTTTTCTACCATTGGCCTCAAATCGCTTGAAATCTTTACTTGCAAAAGCCACGAAAAGAGCGTTTCAAATCTGCTCTGTCTAAAGAAAGGTTCAAATCTGTGAGTTGAATACACACAACACAAAGTAGTTACTGAAAATTCTTCGGGCTAGCAGTATATGGAGAAATCCCGTTTCCAAAGAAGGCCTGAAAGAGGTCCAAATATCCGCTTGCAGACGTTACAAAAAGAGTGTTTCCAAACTGCTCTATGAAAAGAAAGTTTAAAATCTGTGAGTTGAACGCACAAATCACAGAGCAGTTTCTGAGAATTGTTCTGTCTAGTTTTTATACGAAGATATTTCCTTTTCTACAATTGGCCCCAAATCGCTTGAAATCTCCACTTGCAAAAGCAACGAAAGGAGAGTTTCAAATCTGCTCGGTCTAAAGAAAGGTTCAACTCTGTGAATTGAATACACACAACCCAAAGAAGTTACTGAGAATTCTTCGGTCTAGCAGTATATGAAGAAATCCCGTTTCCAACGAAGGCCTCAAAAAGGTCCAAATATCTGCTTGCAGACTTTACAAAGAGAGTGCTTCCAACCTGCTCTATGAAAAGAAAGGTTAAACTCTGTGAGTTGAACGCACACATCACAAAGAAGTTTCTGAGAATGATTCTGTTTAGTTATTA
Source organism: Homo sapiens (assembly GCF_000001405.40). Taxonomy (NCBI): domain Eukaryota; kingdom Metazoa; phylum Chordata; class Mammalia; order Primates; family Hominidae; genus Homo; species Homo sapiens. The sequence goes on along the minus strand of NC_000010.11, from coordinate 39,770,095 downwards.
TACGAAGATATTTCCTTTTCTACAATTGGCCCCAAATCGCTTGAAATCTCCTCTGGCAAAAGCCACGAAAAGAGAGTATCAAATCTGCTCTGTCTAAAGAAAAGTTCAACTCTGTGAGTTGAATACACACAGCACAAAGAAGTTACTGAGTATTCTTCTGTCTAGCATTATATGAAGAAGTCCCGTTTCCAACGAAGGGCTCAAACAGCTCCAAATATCCACTTGGAGACTTTACAAAGAGAGCGTTTCCAAACTGCTCTATGAAAAGAAACGTTAAACTCTGTGAGTTGAACGCACACATCACAAACTAGTTTCTGCGAACGATTCTGTGTAGTTTTAATTCGAAGATATTTCCATTTCTAAGATTGGCCTCAAATCCCTTGAAATCTCCACTTGCAAATTCCACAAAAAGAGTGTTTCAAAACTGCTCTGAATAAAGGAAGGTTCAACTCCGTGAGTTGAATGCACACAACACAAAGAGTTACTGAGAATTCTTCTGTCTGTGAGTATATGAAGAAATCCCGTTTGCAACGAAGGCCTCACAGAAATCTAAATATCCACTTGCAGACCTTACAGACAGAGTCTTTCCAAACTGCTCTATGAAAAGAAAGGTTAATCTCCGTGAGTTGCACGCACACATCAGAAAGTAATTTCTGAGAATGATTCTCTCTAGTTTTTATACGAAGATATTTCCTTTTCTACCATTGGCCTCAAATCGTTTGAAACCTCCACATGCAAAAGCCACGAAAAGAGCGTTTCAAATCTGCTCTGTCTAAAGAAAGGTTCAAATCTGTGAGTTGAATACACACAACACAAAGTAGTTACTGAAAATGCTTCGGTCTAGCAGTATATGGAGAAATCCCGTTTCCAATGAAGGGCTCAAAGAAGTCCAAATATCCACTTGCAGACTTTACAAAAATAGTGTTTCCAAACTGCTCAATTAAAAGAAAGGTTAAACTCTGTGAGTGGAAGGCACACATCACAAAGTAGTTTCTGAGAATGAGTTTGTCTAGTTTTCATACGAAGATATTTCCTTTTCTACCATTGTCCTCGAAGAGCTTGAAATCTGCATTGGCAAATTACACAAAAAGAGTGTTTCAAATGTGCTCTCTCTAAAGGAAGGTTCAAATCCCTGAGTTGAATGCACACAACACAAAGAAGTGACTGAGAATACTGCTGTCTAGCATTACAGGAAGAAATCCCGTTTCCAAAGAAGGCCTCAAAGAGGTCCAAATATCCACTTGCAGACTTTACAAATAGAGTGTTTCCAAACTGCTCTATGAAAAGAAAGGTTAAACTCTGTGAGTTGAACACACACATCACAAGGTAGTATCTCAGAATGACACTGTCTAGTTTTTATACAAAGATATTTCCATTTCTAAGACTGGCCTCAAATCCCTAGAAATCTCCATTGGAAATTGCACAAACAGAGTGTTTGAAAACTGCTCTTTCTAAAGGAAGGTTCAACTCTGTTGGTTGAATACACACAACACAAACAAGTTACTGAGAATTCTTCTATCTAGCATTATATGAAGAAATCCCGTTTCCAACGAAGGCCTCAAAGAGGTCCAAATATCCTACTGCAGACTTTACAAAGAGAGTGTTTCCAAACTGCTCAATTAAAAGAAAGGTTAAACTCTGTGAGTGGAACGCACACATCACAAAGTAGTTTCTGAGAATGATTTTGTCTAGTTTTAATACGAAGATATTTCCTTTCCTACCATTGTCCTCGAAGAGCTTGAAATCTGCACTAGCAAATTACACAAAAAGAGTGTTTTAAATGTGCTCTCTCTAAAGGAAGGTTCAAATCTCTGAGTTGAATGCACACAACACAAAGAAGTGACTGGGAATTCTTCTGTCCAGCATTATAGGAGGAAATCCCGTTTCCAACGAAGGCCTCAAAGAGGTCCTAATATCCACTTGCAGACTTTACAAAGACAGCGTTTCCAAACTGCTCTATGAAAAGAAACGTTAAACTCTGTGAGTTGAACGCACACATCACAAACTAGTTTCTGCGAATGATTCTGTGTAGTTTTAATTCGAAGATATTTCCATTTCTAAGATTGGCCTCAAATCCCTTGAAATCTCCACTTGCAAATTCCACAAAAAGAGTGTTTCAAAACTGCTCTGAATAAAGGAAGGTTCAACTCTGTGAGTTGAATGCACACAACAGAAAGTAGTAACTGAGAATTCTTCTGTCGGGCAGTATATGAAGAAATCCCGTTTGCAACGAAGGCCTCACAGAAATCTAAATATCCACTTGCAGACCTTACAGACAGAGTGTTTCCAAACTTCTCTATGAAAAGAAAGGTTAATCTCCGTGAGTTGCACGCACACATCACAAAGTAGATTCTGGGAATTATTCTGTCTAGTTTTTATACGAAGATATTTCCTTTTCTACCATTGGCCTCAAATCGCTTGAAATCTTTACTTGCAAAAGCCACGAAAAGAGCGTTTCAAATCTGCTCTGTCTAAAGAAAGGTTCAAATCTGTGAGTTGAATACACACAACACAAAGTAGTTACTGAAAATGCTTCGGGCTAGCAGTATATGGAGAAATCCCGTTTCCAAAGAAGGCCTGAAAGAGGTCCAAATATCCGCTTGCAGACTTTACAAAAAGAGTGTTTCCAAACTGCTCTATGAAAAGAAAGTTTAAAATCTGTGAGTTGAACGCACAAATCACAGAGCAGTTTCTGAGAATTGTTCTGTCTAGTTTTTATACGAAGATATTTCCTTTTCTACAATTGGCCTCAAATCGCTTGAAATCTCCACTTGCAAAAGCAACGAAAGGAGAGTTTCAAATCTGCTCGGTCTAAAGAAAGGTTCAACTCTGTGAATTGAATACACACAACCCAAAGAAGTTACTGAGAATTCTTCGGTCTAGCAGTATATGAAGAAATCCCGTTTCCAACGAAGGCCTCAAAAAGGTCCAAATATCTGCTTGCAGACTTTACAAAGAGAGTGCTTCCAACCTGCTCTATGAAAAGAAAGGTTAAACTCTGTGAGTTGAACGCACACATCACAAAGAAGTTTCTGAGAACGATTCTGTTTAGTTACTATACGAAGATATTTTCTTTTCTACCATTGACCTCCAATGACTTGAAATCTCCTCTGGCAAAAGCCACGAAAAGAGAGTATCAAATCTGCTCTGTCTAAAGAAAAGTTCAACTCTGTGAGTTGAATACACACAGCACAAAGAAGTTACTGAGTACTCTTCTGTCTAGCATTATATGAAGAAGTCCCCTTTCCAACGAAGGGCTCAAAGAAGTCCAAATATCCACTTGCAGACTTTACAAAAATAGTGTTTCCAAACAGCTCAATTAAAAGAAAGGTTAAACTCTGTGAGTGGAACGCACACATCACAAAGTAGTTTCTGAGAATGAGTTTGTCTAGTTTTCCTACGAAGATATTTCCTTTTCTACCATTGTCCTCGAAGAGCTTGAAATCTGCACTAGCAAATTACACAAAAAGAGTGTTTCAAATGTGCTCTCTCTAAAGGAAGGTTCAAATCTCTGAGTTGAATGCACACAACACAAAGAAGTGACTGAGAATACTTCTGTCTAGCATTATAGGAAGAAATCCCGTTTCCAATGAAGGCCTCAAAGAGGTCCAAATATCCACTTGCAGACTTTACAAATAGAGTGTTTCCAAACTGCTCTATGAAAAGAAAGGTTAAACTCTGTGAGTTGAACGCACACATCACAAGGTAGTATCTCAGAATGACACTGTCTAGTTTTTATACAAAGATATTTCCATTTCTAAGACTGGCCTCAAATCCCTAGAAATCTGCATTGGAAATTGCACAAACAGAGTGTTTGAAAACTGCTCTTTCTAAAGGAAGGTTCAACTCTGTTAGTTTAATACACACAACACAAACAAGTTACTGAGAATTCTTCTATCTAGCATTATATGAAGAAATCCCGTTTCCAACGAAGGCCTCAAAGAGGTCCAAATATCCTACTGCAGACTTTACAAAGAGAGTGTTTCCAAACTGCTCAATTAAAAGAAAGGTTAAACTCTGTGAGTGGAACGCACACATCACAAAGTAGTTTCTGAGAATGATTTTGTCTAGTTTTAATACGAAGATATTTCCTTTCCTACCATTGTCCTCGAAGAGCTTGAAATCTGCACTAGCAAATTACACAAAAAGAGTGTTTTAAATGTGCTCTCTCTAAAGGAAGGTTCAAATCTCTGAGTTGAATGCACACAACACTAAGAAGTGACTGGGAATTCTTCTGTCCAGCATTATAGGAGGAAATCCCGTTTCCAACGAAGGCCTCAAAAGGGTCCTAATATCCACTTGCATACTTTACAAAGACAGCGTTTCCAAACTGCTCTATGAAAAGAAACGTTAAACTCTGTGAGTTGAACGCACACATCACAAACTAGTTTCTGCGAATGATTCTGTGTAGTTTTAATTCGAAGATATTTCCATTTCTAAGATTGGCCTCAAATCCCTTGAAATCTCCACTTGCAAATTCCACAAAAACAGTGTTTCAAAATTGCTCTGAATAAAGAAAGGTTCAACTCTGTGAGTTGAATGCACACAGCAGAAAGTAGTAACTGAGAATTCTTCTGTCGGGCAGTATATGAAGAAATCCCGTTTGCAACGAAGGCCTCACAGAAATCTAAATATCCACTTGCAGACCTTACAGACAGAGTGTTTCCAAACTTCTCTATGAAAAGAAAGGTTAATCTCCGTGAGTTGCACGCACACATCACAAAGTAGATTCTGAGAATGATTCTGTCTACTTTTTATACGAAGATATTTCCTTTTCTACCATTGGCCTCAAATCGCTTGAAATCTTTACTTGCAAAAGCCACGAAAAGTGCATTTCAAATCTGCTCTGTCTAAAGAAAGGTTCAAATCTGTGAGTTGAATACACACAACACAAAGTAGTTACTGAAAAGTCTTCGGGCTAGCAGTATATGGAGAAATCCCGTTTCCAAAGAAGGCCTGAAAGAGGTCCAAATATCCGCTTGCAGACTTTACAAAAAGAGTGTTTCCAAACTGCTCTATGAAAAGAAAGTTTAAAATCTGTGAGTTGAACGCACAAATCACAGAGCAGTTTCTGAGAATTGTTCTGTCTAGTTTTTATACGAAGATATTTCCTTTTCTACAATTGGCCTCAAATCGCTTGAAATCTCCACTTGCAAAAGCAACAAAAGGAGAGTTTCAAATCTGCTCGGTCTAAAGAAAGGTTCAAATCTGTGAATTGAATACACACAACCCAAAGAAGTTACTGAGAATTCTTCGGTCTAGCAGTATATGAAGAAATCCCGTTTCCAACGAAGGCCTCAAAAAGGTCCAAATATCTGCTTGCAGACTTTACAAAGAGAGTGCTTCCAACCTGCTCTATGAAAAGAAAGGTTAAACTCTGTGAGTTGAACGCACACATCACAAAGAAGTTTCTGAGAATGATTCTGTTTAGTTATTATACGAAGATATTTTCTTTTCTACCATTGGCCTCCAATGACTTGAAATCTCCTCTGGCAAAAGCCACGAAAAGAGAGTATCAAATCTGCTCTGTCTAAAGAAAAGTTCAACTCTGTGATTTGAATACACACAGCACAAAGAAGTTACTGAGTATTCTTCTGTCTAGCATTATATGAAGAAGTCCCGTTTCCAACGAAGGGCTCAAACAGCTCCAAATATCCACTTGGAGACTTTACAAAGAGAGCGTTTCCAAACTGCTCTATGAAAAGAAACGTTAAACTCTGTGAGTTGAACGCACACATCACAAACTAGTTTCTGCGAACGATTCTGTGTAGTTTTAATTCGAAGATATTTCCATTTCTAAGATTGGCCTCAAATCCCTTGAAATCTCCACTTGCAAATTCCACAAAAAGAGTGTTTCAAAACTGCTCTGAATAAAGGAAGGTTCAACTCCGTGAGTTGAATGCACACAACACAAAGAGTTACTGAGAATTCTTCTGTCTGTGAGTATATGAAGAAATCCCGTTTGCAACGAAGGCCTCACAGAAATCTAAATATCCACTTGCAGACCTTACAGACAGAGTCTTTCCAAACTGCTCTATGAAAAGAAAGGTTAATCTCCGTGAGTTGCACGCACACATCAGAATGTAATTTCTGAGAATGATTCTCTCTAGTTTTTATACGAAGATATTTCCTTTTGTACCATTGGCCTCAAATCGTTTGAAACCTCCACATGCAAAAGCCACGAAAAGAGCGTTTCAAATCCGCTCTGTCTAAAGAAAGGTTCAAATCTGTGAGTTGAATACACACAACACAAAGTAGTTACTGAAAATGCTTCGGTCTAGCAGTATATGGAGAAATCCCGTTTCCAACGAAGGGCTCAAAGAAGTCCAAATATCCACTTGCAGACTTTACAAAAATAGTGTTTCCAAACTGCTCAATTAAAAGAAAGGTTAAACTCTGTGAGTGGAACGCACACATCACAAAGTAGTTTCTGAGAATGATTTTGTCTAGTTTTCATACGAAGATATTTCCTTTTCTACCATTGTCCTCGAAGAGCTTGAAATCTGCACTAGCAAATTACACAAAAAGAGTGTTTCAAATGTGCTCTCTCTAAAGGAAGGTTCAAATCTCTGAGTTGAATGCAAACAACACAAAAAGTGACTGAGAATACTTCTGTCTAGCATTATAGGAAGAAATCCCGTTTCCAACGAAGGCCTCAAAGAGGTCCAAATATCCACTTGCAGACTTTACAAATAGAGTGTTTCCAAACTGCTCTATGAAAAGAAAGGTTAAACTCTGTGAGTTGAACGCACACATCACAAGGTAGTATCTCAGAATGACACTGTCTAGTTTTTATACAAAGATATTTCCAATTCTAAGACTGGCCTCAAATCCCTAGAAATCTCCATTGGAAATTGCACAAACAGAGTGTTTGAAAACTGCTCTTTCTAAAGGAAGGTTCAACTCTGTTAGTTGAATACACACAACACAAACAAGTTACTGAGAATTCTTCTATCTAGCATTATATGAAGAAATCCCGTTTCCAACGAAGGCCTCAAAGAGGTCCAAATATCCTACTACAGGCTTTACAAAGAGAGTGTTTCCAAACTGCTCAATTAAAAGAAAGGTTAAACTCTGTGAGTGGAACGCACACATCACAAAGTAGTTTCTGAGAATGATTTTGTCTAGTTTTAATACGAAGATATTTCCTTTCCTACCATTGTCCTCGAAGAGCTTGAAATCTGCACTAGCAAATTACACAAAAAGAGTGTTTCAAATGTGCTCTCTCTAAAGGAAGGTTCAAATCTCTGAGTTGAATGCACACAACACAAAGAAGTGACTGGGAATTCTTCTGTCTAGCATTATAGGAGGAAATCCCGTTTCCAACGAAGGCCTCAAAGAGGTCCTAATATCCACTTGCAGACTTTACAAAGACAGCGTTTCCAAACTGCTCTATGAAAAGAAACGTTAAACTCTGTGAGTTGAACGCACACATCACAAACTAGTTTCTGCGAATGATTCTGTGTAGTTTTAATTCGAAGATATTTCCATTTCTAAGATTGGCCTCAAATCCCTTGAAATCTCCACTTGCAAATTCCACAAAAAGAGTGTTTCAAAACTGCTCTGAATAAAGGAAGGTTCAACTCTGTGAGTTGAATGCACACAACTGAAAGTAGTAACTGAGAATTCTTCTGTCGGGCAGTATATGAAGAAATCCCGTTTGCAACGAAGGCCTCACAGAAATCTAAATATCCACTTGCAGACCTTACAGACAGAGTGTTTCCAAACTTCTCTATGAAAAGAAAGGTTAATCTCCGTGAGTTGCACGCACACATCACAAAGTAGATTCTGAGAATGATTCTGTCTAGTTTTTATACGAAGATATTTCCTTTTCTACCATTGGCCTCAAATCGCTTGAAATCTTTACTTGCAAAAGCCACGAAAAGAGCGTTTCAAATCTGCTCTGTCTAAAGAAAGGTTCAAATCTGTGAGTTGAATACACACAACACAAATAGTTACTGAAAATGCTTCGGGCTAGCAGTATATGGAGAAATCCCGTTTCCAAAGAAGGCCTGAAAGAGGTCCAAATATCCGCTTGCAGACTTTACAAAAAGAGTGTTTCCAAACTGCTGTATGAAAAGAAAGTTTAAAATCTGTGAGTTCAACGCACAAATCACAGAGCAGTTTCTGAGAATTGTTCTGTCTAGTTTTTATACGAAGATATTTCCTTTTCTACAATTGGCCTCAAATCGCTTGAAATCTCCACTTGCAAAAGCAACGAAAGGAGAGTTTCAAATCTGCTCGGTCTAAAGAAAGGTTCAACTCTGTGAATTGAATACACACAACCCAAAGAAGTTACTGAGAATTCTTCGGTCTAGCAGTATATGAAGAAATCCCGTTTCCAACGAAGGCCTCAAAAAGGTCCAAATATCTGCTTGCAGACTTTACAAAGAGAGTGCTTCCAACCTGCTCTATGAAAAGAAAGGTTAAACTCTGTGAGTTGAACGGCACACATCACAAAGAAGTTTCTGAGAATGATTCTGTTTAGTTATTATACGAAGATATTTTCTTTTCTACCATTGGCCTCCAATGACTTGAAATCTCCTCTGGCAAAAGCCACGAAAAGAGAGTATCAAATCTGCTCTGTCTAAAGAAAAGTTCAACTCTGTGAGTTGAATACACACAGCACAAAGAAGTTACTGAGTATTCTTCTGTGTAGCATTATATGAAGAAGTCCCGTTTCCAACGAAGGGCTCAAAGAGCTCCAAATATCCACTTGGAGACTTTACAAAGAGAGCGTTTCCAAACTGCTCTATGAAAAGAAACGTTAAACTCTGTGAGTTGAACGCACACATCACAAACTAGTTTCTGCGAACGATTCTGTGTAGTTTTAATTCGAAGATATTTCCATTTCTAAGATTGGCCTCAAATCCCTTGAAATCTCCACTTGCAAATTCCACAAAAAGAGTGTTTCAAAACTGCTCTGAATAAAGGAAGGTTCAACTCCGTGAGTTGAATGCACACAACACAAAGAGTTACTGAGAATTCTTCTGTCTGTGAGTATATGAAGAAATCCCGTTTGCAACGAAGGCCTCACAGAAATCTAAATATCCACTTGCAGACCTTACAGACAGAGTCTTTCCAAACTGCTCTATGAAAAGAAAGGTTAATCTCCGTGAGTTGCACGCACACATCAGAAAGTAATTTCTGAGAATGATTCTCTCTAGTTTTTATACGAAGATATTTCCTTTTCTACCATTGGCCTCAAATCGTTTGAAACCTCCACATGCAAAAGCCACGAAAAGAGCGTTTCAAATCTGCTCTGTCTAAAGAAAGGTTTAAATCTGTGAGTTGAATACACACAACACAAAGTAGTTACTGAAAATGCTTCGGTCTAGCAGTATATGGAGAAATCCCGTTTCCAATGAAGGGCTCAAAGAAGTCCAAATATCCACTTGCAGACTTTACAAAAATAGTGTTTCCAAACTGCTCAATTAAAAGAAAGGTTAAACTCTGTGAGTGGAACGCACACATCACAAAGTAGTTTCTGAGAATGATTTTGTCTAGTTTTCATACGAAGATATTGCCTTTTCTACCATTGTCCTCGAAGAGCTTGAAATCTGCACTAGCAAATTACACAAAAAGAGTGTTTCAAATGTGCTCTCTCTAAAGGAAGGTTCAAATCTCTGAGTTGAATACACACAACACAAAGAAGTGACTGAGAATACTTCTGTCTAGCATTATAGGAAGAAATCGCGTTTCCAACGAAGGCCTCAAAGAGGTCCAAATATCCACTTGCAGACTTTACAAATAGAGTGTTTCCAAACTGCTCTATGAAAAGAAAGGTTAAACTCTGTGAGTTGAACGCACACATCACAAGGTAGTGTCTCAGAATGACACTGTCTAGTTTTTATACAAAGATAATTCCATTTCTAAGACTGGCCTCAAATCCCTAGAAATCTCCATTGGAAATTGCACAAACAGAGTGTTTGAAAACTGCTCTTTCTAAAGGAAGGTTCAACTCTGTTAGTTGAATACACACAACACAAACAAGTCACTGAGAATTCTTCTATCTAGCATTATATGAAGAAATCCTGTTTCCAACAAAGGCCTCAAAGAGGTCCAAATATCCTACTGCAGACTTTACAAAGAGAGTGTTTCCAAACTGCTCAATTAAAAGAAAGGTGAAACTCTGTGAGTGGAACGCACACATCACAAAGTAGTTTCTGAGAATGATTTTGTCTAGTTTTAATACGAAGATATTTCCTTTCTTACCATTGTCCTCGAAGAGCTTGAAATCTGCACTAGCAAATTACACAAAAAGAGTGTTTTAAATGTGCTCTCTGTAAGGGAAGGTTCAAATCTCTGAGTTGAATGCACACAACACAAAGAAGTGACTGGGAATTCTTCTGTCTAGCATTATAGGAGGAAATCCCGTTTCCAACGAAGGCCTCAAAGAGGTCCTAATATCCACTTGCAGACTTTACAAAGACAGCATTTCCAAACTGCTCTATGAAAAGAAACGTTAAACTCTGTGAGTTGAACGCACACATCACAAACTAGTTTCTGCGAATGATTCTGTGTAGTTTTAATTCGAAGATATTTCCATTTCTAAGACTGGCCTCAAATCCCTTGAAATCTCCACTTGCAAATTCCACAAAAAGAGTGTTTCAAAACTGCTCTGAATAAAGGAAGATTCAACTCTGTGAGTTGAATGCACACAACAGAAAGTAGTAACTGAGAATTCTTCTGTCGGGCAGTATATGAAGAAATCCCGTTTGCAACGAAGGCCTCACAGGAAATCTAAATATCCACTTGCAGACCTTACAGACAGAGTGTTTCCAAACTTCTCTATGAAAAGAAAGGTTAATCTCCGTGAGTTGCACGCACACATCACAAAGTAGATTCTGGGAATTATTCTGTCTAGTTTTTATACGAAGATATTTCCTTTTCTACCATTGGCCTCAAATCGCTTGAAATCTTTACTTGCAAAAGCCACGAAAAGAGCGTTTCAAATCTGCTCTGTCTAAAGAAAGGTTCAAATCTGTGAGTTGAATACACACAACACAAAGTAGTTACTGAAAATGCTTCGGGCTAGCAGTATATGGAGAAATCCCGTTTCCAAAGAAGGCCTGAAAGAGGTCTAAATATCCGCTTGCAGACTTTACAAAAAGAGTGTTTCCAAACTGCTCTATGAAAAGAAAGTTTAAAATCTGTGAGTTGAACGCACAAATCACAGAGCAGTTTCTGAGAATTGTTCTGTCTAGTTTTTATACGAAGATATTTCCTTTTCTACAATTGGCCTCAAATCTCTTGAAATCTCCACTTGCAAAAGCAACGAAAGGAGAGTTTCAAATCTGCTCGGTCTAAAGAAAGGTTCAACTCTGTGAATTGAATACACACAACCCAAAGAAGTTACTGAGAATTCTTCGGTCTAGCAGTATATGAAGAAATCCCGTTTCCAACGAAGGCCTCAAAAAGGTCCAAATATCTGCTTGCAGACTTTACAAAGAGAGTGCTTCCAACCTGCTCTATGAAAAGAAAGGTTAAACTCTGTGAGTTGAACGCACACATCACAAAGAAGTTTCTGAGAATGATTCTGTTTAGTTATTATACGAAGATATTTTCTTTGCTACCATTGGCCTCCAATGGCTTGAAATCTCCTCTGGCAAAAGCCACGAAAAGAGAGTATCAAATCTGCTCTGTCTAAAGAAAAGTTCAACTCTGTGAGTTGAATACACACAGCACAAAGAAGTTACTGAGTATTCTTCTGTCTAGCATTATATGAAGAAGTCCCGTTTCCAACGAAGGGCTCAAAGAGCTCCAAATATCCACTTGGAGACTTTACAAAGAGAGCGTTTCCAAACTGCTCTATGAAAAGAAACGTTAAACTCTGTGAGTTGAACGCACACATCACAAACTAGTTTCTGCGAACGATTCTGTGTAGTTTTAATTCGAAGATATTTCCATTTCTAAGATTGGCCTCAAATCCCTTGAAATCTCCACTTGCAAATTCCACAAAAAGAGTGTTTCAAAACTGCTCCGAATAAAGGAAGGTTCAACTCCGTGAGGTGAATGCACACAACACAAATAGTTACTGAGAATTCTTCTGTCTGTGAGTATATGAAGAAATCCCGTTTGCAACGAAGGCCTCACAGAAATCTAAATATGCACTTGCAGACCTTACAGACAGAGTCTTTCCAAGCTGCTCTATGAAAAGAAAGGTTAATCTCCGTGAGTTGCACGCACACATCACAAAGTAATTTCTGAGAATGATTCTCTCTAGTTTTTATACGAAGATATTTCCTTTTCTACCATTGGCCTCAAATCGTTTGAAACCTCCACATGCAAAAGCCACGAGAAGAGCGTTTCAAATCTGCTCTGTCTAAAGAAAGGTTCAAATCTGTGAGTTGAATACACACAACACAAAGTAGTTACTGAAAATGCTTCGGTCTAGCAGTATATGGAGAAATCCCGTTTCCAACGAAGGGCTCAAAGAAGTCCAAATATCCACTTGCAGACTTTACAAAAATAGTGTTTCCAAACTGCTCAATTAAAAGAAAGGTTAAACTCTGTGAGTGGAACGCACACATCACAAAGTAGTTTCTGAGAATGATTTTGTCTAGTTTTCATACGAAGATATTTCCTTTTCTACCATTGTCCTCAAAGAGCTTGAAATCTGTACTAGCAAATTACACAAATAGAGTGTTTCAAATGTGCTCTCTCTAAAGGAAGGTTCAAATCTCTGAGTTGAATGCACACAACACAAAGAAGTGACTGAGAATACTTCTGTCTAGCATTATAGGAAGAAATCCCGTTTCCAACGAAGGCCTCAAAGAGGTCCAAATATCCACTTGCAGACTTTACAAATAGAGTGTTTCCAAACTGCTCTATGAAAAGAAAGGTTAAACTCTGTGAGTTGAACGCACACATCACAAGGTAGTATCTCAGAATGACACTGTCTAGTTTTTATACAAAGATATTTCCATTTCTAAGACTGGCCTCAAATCCCTAGAAATCTCCATTGGAAATTGCACAAACAGAGTGTTTGAAAACTGCTCTTTCTAAAGGAAGGTTCAACTCTGTTAGTTGAATACACACAACACAAACAAGTTACTGAGAACTCTTCTATCTAGCATTATATGAAGAAATCCCGTTTCCAACGAAGGCCTCAAAGAGGTCCAAATATCCTACTGCAGACTTTACAAAGAGAGTGTTTCCAAACTGCTCAATTAAAAGAAAGGTTAAACTCTGTGAGTGGAACGCACACATCACAAAGTAGTTTCTGAGAATGATTTTGTCTAGTTTTAATGCGAAGATATTTCCTTTCCTACCATTGTCCTCGAAGAGCTTGAAATCTGCACTAGCAAATTACACAAAAAGAGAGTTTTAAATGTGCTCTCTCTAAAGGAAGGTTCAAATCTCTGAGTTGAATGCACACAACACAAAGAAGTGACTGGGAATTCTTCTGTCTAGCATTATAGGAGGAAATCCCGTTTCCAACGAATGCCTCAAAGAGGTCCTAATATCCACTTGCAGACTTTACAAAGACAGCGTTTCCAAACTGCTCTATGAAAAGAAACGTTAGACTCTGTGAGTTGAACGCACACATCACAAACTAGTTTCTGCGAATGATTCTGTGTAGTTTTAATTCGAAGATATTTCCATTTCTAAGATTGGCCTCAAATCCCTTGAAATCTCCACTTGCAAATTCCACAAAAAGAGTGTTTCAAAACTGCTCTGAATAAAGGAAGGTTCGACTCTGTAAGTTGAATGCACACAACTGAAAGTAGTAACTGAGAATTCTTCTGTCGGACAGTATATGAAGAAATCCCGTTTGCAACGAAGGCCTCACAGAAATCTAAATATCCACTTGCAAACCTTACAGACAGAGTGTTTCCAAACTTCTCTATGAAAAGAAAGGTTAATCTCCGTGAGTTGCACGCACACATCACAAAGTAGATTCTGAGAATGATTCTGTCTAGTTTTTATACGAAGATATTTCCTTTTCTACCATTGGCCTCAAATCGCTTGAAATCTTTACTTGCAAAAGCCACGAAAAGAGCGTTTCAAATCTGCTCTGTCTAAAGAAAGGTTCAAATCTGTGAGTTGAATACACACAACACAAAGTAGTTACTGAAAATGCTTCGGGCTAGCAGTATATGGAGAAATCCCGTTTCCAAAGAAGGCCTGAAAGAGGTCCAAATATCCGCTTGCAGACTTTACAAAAAGAGTGTTTCCAAACTGCTCTATGAAAAGAAAGTTTAAAATCTGTGAGTTGAACGCACAAATCACAGAGCAGTTTCTGAGAATTGTTCTGTCTAGTTTTTATACGAAGATATTTCCTTTTCTACAATTAGCCTCAAATCGCTTGAAATCTCCACTTGCAAAAGCAACGAAAGGAGAGTTTCAAATCTGCTCGGTCTAAAGAAAGGTTCAACTCTGTGAATTGAATACACACAACCCAAAGAAGTTACTGAGAATTCTTCGGTCTAGCAGTATATGAAGAAATCCCGTTTCCAACGAAGGCCTCAAAAAGGTCCAAATATCTGCTTGCAGACTTTACAAAGAGAGTGCTTCCAACCTGCTCTATGAAAAGAAAGGTTAAACTCTGTGAGTTGAACGCACACATCACAAAGAAGTTTCTGAGAACGATTCTGTTTAGTTACTATACGAAGATATTTTCTTTTCTACCATTGACCTCCAATGACTTGAAATCTCCTCTGGCAAAAGCCACGAAAAGAGAGTATCAAATCTGCTCTGTCTAAAGAAAAGTTCAACTCTGTGAGTTGAATACACACAGCACAAAGAAGTTACTGAGTACTCTTCTGTCTAGCATTATATGAAGAAGTCCCGTTTCCAACGAAGGGCTCAAACAGCTCCAAATATCCACTTGGAGACTTTACAAAGAGAGCGTTTCCAAACTGCTCTATGAAAAGAAACGTTAAACTACTGTGAGTTGAACGCACACATCACAAACTAGTTTCTGCGAACGATTCTGTGTAGTATTAATTCGAAGATATTTCCATTTCTAAGATTGCCCTCAAATCGCTTGAAATCTCCACCTGCAAATTCCACAAAAAGAGTGTTTCAAAACTGCTCCGAATAAAGGAAGGTTTAACTCTGTGAGTTGAATACACAGAACACAAAGAAGTTACTGAGAATTCTTCTGTCTGTGAGTATATGAAGAAATCCCGTTTGCAACGAAGGCCTCACAGAAATCTAAATATCCACTTGCAGACCTTACAGACAGAGTCTTTCCAAACTGCTGTATGAAAAGAAAGGTTAATCTCCGTGAGTTGCACGCACACATCAGAAAGTTATTTCTGAGAATGATTCTCTCTAGTTTTTATACGAAGATATTTCCTTTTCTACCATTGTCCTCAAATCGTTTGAAACCTCCACATGCAAAAGCCACGAAAAGAGCGTTTCAAATCTGCTCTGTCTAAAGAAAGGTTCAAATCTGTGAGTTGAATACACACAACACAAAGTAGTTACTGAAAATGCTTCGGTCTAGCAGTATATGGAGAAATCCCGTTTCCAACGAAGGGCTCAAAGAAGTCCAAATATCCACTTGCAGACTTTACAAAAATAGTGTTTCCAAACTGCTCAATTAAAAGAAAGGTTAAACTCTGTGAGTGGAATGCACACATCACAAAGTAGTTTCTGAGAATGAGTTTGTCTAGTTTTCATACGAAGATATTGCCTTTTCTACCATTGTCCTCGAAGAGCTTGAAATCTGCACTAGCAAAATACACAAAAAGAGTGTTTCAAATGTGCTCTCTCTAAAGGAAGGTTCAAATCTCTGAGTTGAATGCACACAACACAAAGAAGTGACTGAGAATACTTCTGTCTAGCATTATAGGAAGAAATCCCGTTTCCAACGAAGGCCTCAAAGAGGTCCAAATATCCACTTGCAGACTTTACAAATAGAGTGTTTCCAAACTGCTCTATGAATAGTAAGGTTAAGCTCTGTGAGTTGAACGCACACATCACAAGGTAGTATCTCAGAATGACACTGTCTAGTTTTTATACAAAGATATTTCCATTTCTAAGACTGGCCTCAAATCCCTAGAAATCTCCATTGGAAATTGCACAAACAGAGTGTTTGAAAACTGCTCTTTCTAAAGGAAGGTTCAACTCTGTTAGTTGAATACAAACAACACAAACAAGTTACTGAGAATTCTTCTATCTAGCATTATATGAAGAAATCCCGTTTCCAACGAAGGCCTCAAAGAGGTCCAAATATCCTACTGCAGACTTTACAAAGAGAGTGTTTCCAAACTGCTCAATTAAAAGAAAGGTTAAAGTCTGTGAGTGGAACGCACACATCACAAATTAGTTTCTGAGAATGATTTTGTCTAGTTTTAATACGAAGATATTTCCTTTCCTACCATTGTCCTCGAAGAGCTTGAAATCTGCACTAGCAAATTACACAAAAAGAGTGTTTCAAATGTGCTCTCTCTAAAGGAAGGTTCAAATCTCTGAGTTGAATGCACACAACACAAAGAAGTGACTGGGAATTCTTCTGTCTAGCATTATAGGAGGAAATCCCGTTTCCAACGAAGGCCTCAAAGAGGTCCTAATATCCACTTGCAGACTTTACAAAGACAGCGTTTCCAAACTGCTCTATGAAAAGAAACGTTAAACTCTGTGAGTTGAACGCACACATCACAAACTAGTTTCTGCGAATGATTCTGTGTAGTTTTAATTCGAAGATATTTCCATTTCTAACATTGGCCTCAAATCCCTTGAAATCTCCACTTGCAAATTCCACAAAAAGAGTGTTTCAAAACTGCTCTGAATAAAGGAAGGTTGAACTCTGTGAGTTGAATGCACACAACTGAAAGTAGTAACTGAGAATTCTTCTGTCGGGCAGTATATGAAGAAATCCCGTTTGCAACGAAGGCCTGACAGAAATCTAAATATCCACTTGCAGAACTTACAGACAGAGTGTTTCCAAACTTCTCTATGAAAAGAACGGTTAATCTCCGTGAGTTGCACGCACACATCACAAAGTAGATTCTGAGAATGATTCTGTCTAGTTTTTATACGAAGATATTTCCTTTTCTACCATTGGCCTCAAATCGCTTGAAATCTTTACTTGCAAAAGCCACGAAAAGAGCGTTTCAAATCTGCTCTGTCTAAAGAAAGGTTCAAATCTGTGAGTTGAATACACACAACACAAAGTAGTTACTGAAAATTCTTCGGGCTTGCTGCATATGGAGAAATCCCGTTTCCAAAGAAGGCCTGAAAGAGGTCAAAATATCCGCTTGCAGACTTTACAAAAAGAGTGTTTCCAAACTGCTCTATGAAAAGCAAGTTTAAAATCTGTGAGTTGAACGCACAAATCACAGAGCAGTTTCTGAGAATTGTTCTGTCTAGTTTTTATACGAAGATATTTCCTTTTCTACAATTGGCCTCAAATCGCTTGAAATCTCCACTTCCAAAAGCAACGAAAGGAGAGTTTCAAATCTGCTCGGTCTAAAGAAAGGTTCAACTCTGTGAATTGAATACACACAACCCAAAGAAGTTACTGAGAATTCTTCGGTCTAGCAGTATATGAAGAAATCCCGTTTCCAACGAAGGCCTCAAAAAGGTCCAAATATCTGCTTCCAGACTTTACAAAGAGAGTGCTTCCAACCTGCTCTATGAAAAGAAAGGTTAAACTCTGTGAGTTGAACGCACACATCACAAAGAAGTTTCTGAGAATGATTCTGTTTAGTTATTATACGAAGATATTTTCTTTTCTACCATTGGCCTCCAATGACTTGAAATCTCCTCTGGCAAAACCCATGAAAAGAGAGTATCAAATCTGCTCTGTCTAAAGAAAAGTTCAACTCTGTGAGTTGAATACACACAGCACAAAGAAGTTACTGAGTATTCTTCTGTCTAGCATTATATGAAGAAGTCCCGTTTCCAACGAAGGGCTCAAACAGCTCCAAATATCCACTTGGAGACTTTACAAAGAGAGCGTTTCCAAACTGCTCTATGAAAAGAAACGTTAAACTCTGTGAGTTGAACGCACACATCACAAACTAGTTTCTGCGAACGATTCTGTGTAGTTTTAATTCGAAGATATTTCCATTTCTAAGATTGGCCTCAAATCCCTTGAAATCTCCACTTGCAAATTCCACAAAAAGAGTGTTTCAAAACTGCTCCGAATAAAGGAAGGTTCAACTCCGTGAGGTGAATGCACACAACACAAATAGTTACTGAGAATTCTTCTGTCTGTGAGTATATGAAGAAATCCCGTTTGCAACGAAGGCCTCACAGAAATCTAAATATCCACTTGCAGACCTTACAGACAGAGTCTTTCCAAACTGCTCTATGAAAAGAAAGGTTAATCTCCGTGAGTTGCACGCACACATCACAAAGTAATTTCTGAGAATGATTCTCTCTAGTTTTTATACGAAGATATTTCCTTTTCTACCATTGGCCTCAAATCGTTTGAAACCTCCACATGCAAAAGCCACGAAAAGAGCGTTTGAAATCTGCTCTCTAAAGAAAGGTTCAAATCTGTGAGTTGAATACACACAACACAAAGTAGTTACTGAAAATGCTTCGGTCTAGCAGTATATGGAGAAATCCCGTTTCCAACGAAGGGCTCAAAGAAGTCCAAATATCCACTTGCAGACTTTACAAAAATAGTGTTTCCAAACTGCTCAATTAAAAGAAAGGTTAAACTCCGTGAGTGGAACGCACACATCACAAAGTAGTTTCTGAGAATGAGTTTGTCTAGTTTTCATACGAAGATATTTCCTTTTCTACCATTGTCCTCGAAGAGCTTGAAATCTGCACTAGCAAATTACACAAAAAGAGTGTTTCAAATGTGCTCTCTCTAAAGGAAGGTTCAAATCTCTGAGTTGAATGCACACAACACAAAGAAGTGACTGAGAATACTGCTGTCTAGCATTACAGGAAGAAATCGCGTTTCCAAAGAAGGCCTCAAAGAGGTCCAAATATCCACTTGCAGACTTTACAAATAGAGTGTTTCCAACATGCTCTATGAAAAGAAAGGTTAAACTCTGTGAGTTGAACGCACACATCACAAGGTAGTATCTCAGAATGACACTGTCTACTTTTTATACAAAGATATTTCCATTTCTAAGACTGACCTCAAATCCCTAGAAATCTCCATTGGAAATTGCACAAACAGAGTGTTTGAAAACTGCTCTTTCTAAAGGAAGGTTCAACTCTGTTAGTTGAATACACACAACACAAACAAGTTACTGAGAATTCTTCTATCTAGCATTATATGAAGAAATCCCGTTTCCAACGAAGGCCTCAAAGAGGTCCAAATATCCTACTGCAGACTTTACAAAGAGAGTGTTTCCAAACTGCTCAATTAAAAGAAAGGTTAAACTCTGTGAGTGGAACGCACACATCACAAAGTAGTTTCTGAGAATGATTTTGTCTAGTTTTCATACGAAGATATTTCCTTTTCTACCATTGTCCTCGAAGACCTTGAAATCTGCACTAGCAAATTACACAAAAAGAGTGTTTTAAATGTGCTCTCTCTAAAGGAAGGTTCAAATCTCTGAGTTGAATGCACACAACACAAAGAAGTGACTGGGAATTCTTCTGTCCAGCATTATAGGAGGAAATCCCGTTTCCAACGAAGGCCTCAAAGAGGTCCTAATATCCACTTGCAGACTTTACAAAGACAGCGTTTCCAAACTGCTCTATGAAAAGAAACGTTAAACTCTGTGAGTTGAACACACACATCACAAACTAGTTTCTGCGAATGATTCTGTGTAGTTTTAATTCGAAGATATTTACATTTCTAAGATTGGCCTCAAATCCCTTGAAATCTCCACTTGCAAATTCCACAAAAAGAGTGTTTCAAAACTGCTCTGAATAAAGGAAGATTCAACTCTGTGAGTTGAATGCACACAACAGAAAGTAGTAACTGAGAATTCTTCTGTCGGGCAGTATATGAAGAAATCCCGTTTGCAACGAAGGCCTCACAGAAATCTAAATATCCACCTGCAGACCTTACAGACAGAGTGTTTCCAAACTTCTCTATGAAAAGAAAGGTTAATCTCCGTGAGTTGCACGCACACATCACAAAGTAGATTCTGAGAATGATTCTGTCTAGTTTTTATACGAAGATATTTCCTTTTCTACCATTGGCCTCAAATCGCTTCAAATCTTTACTTGCAAAAGCCACGAAAAGAGCGTTTCAAATCTGCTCTGTCTAAAGAAAGGTTCAAATCTGTGAGTTGAATACACACAACACAAAGTAGTTACTGAAAATTCTTCGGGCTAGCAGTATATGGAGAAATCCCGTTTCCAAAGAAGGCCTGAAAGAGGTCCAAATATCCGCTTGCAGACTTTACAAAAAGAGTGTTTCCAAACTGCTCTATGAAAAGAAAGTTTAAAATCTGTGAGTTCAACGCACAAATCACAGAGCAGTTTCTGAGAATTGTTCTGTCTAGTTTTTATACGAAGATATTTCCTTTTCTACAATTGGCCTCAAATCGCCTGAAATCTCCACTTGCAAAAGCAACGAAAGGAGAGTTTCAAATCTGCTCGGTCTAAAGAAAGGTTCAACTCTGTGAATTGAATACACACAACCCAAAGATGTTACTGAGAATTCTTCGGTCTAGCAGTATATGAAGAAATCCCGTTTCCAACGAAGGCCTCAAAAAGGTCCAAATATCTGCTTGCAGACTTTACAAAGAGAGTGCTTCCAACCTGCTCTATGAAAAGAAAGGTTAAACTCTGTGAGTTGAACGCACACATCACAACGAAGTTTCTGAGAATGATTCTGTTTAGTTATTATACGAAGATATTTTCTTTTCTACCATTGGCCTCCAATGACTTGAAATCTCCTCTGGCAAAAGCCACGAAAAGAGAGTATCAAATCTGCCCTGTCTAAAGAAAAGTTCAACTCTGTGAGTTGAATACACACAGCACAAAGAAGTTACTGAGTATTCTTCTGTCTAGCATTATATGAAGAAGTCCCGTTTCCAACGAAGGGCTCAAACAGCTCCAAATATCCACTTGGAGACTTTACAAAGAGAGCGTTTCCAAACTGCTCTATGAAAAGAAACGTTAAACTCTTTGAGTTGAACGCACGCATCACAAACTAGTTTCTGCGAACGATTCTGTGTAGTTTTAATTCGAAGATATTTCCATTTCTAAGATTGGCCTCAAATCCCTTGAAATCTCCACTTGCAAATTCCACAAAAAGAGTGTTTCAAAACTGCTCTGAATAAAGGAAGGTTCAACTCCGTGAGTTGAATGCACACAACACAAAGAGTTACTGAGAATTCTTCTGTCTGTGTGTATATGAAGAAATCCCATTTGCAACGAAGGCCTCACAGAAATCTAAATATCCACTTGCAGACCTTACAGACAGAGTCTTTCCAAACTGCTCTATGAAAAGAAAGGTTAATCTCCGTGAGTTGCACGCACACATCAGAAAGTAATTTCTGAGAATGATTCTCTCTAGTTTTTATACGAAGATATTTCCTTTTCTACCATTGGCCTCAAATCGTTTGAAACCTCCACATGCAAAAGCCACGAAAAGAGCGTTTCAAATCTGCTCTGTCTAAAGAAAGGTTCAAATCTGTGAGTTGAATACACACAACACAAAGTAGTTACTGAAAATGCTTCGGTCTAGCAGTATATGGAGAAATCCCGTTTCCAACGAAGGGCTCAAAGAAGTCCAAATATCCACTTGCAGACTTTACAAAAATAGTGTTTCCAAACTGCTCAATTAAAAGAAAGGTTAAACTCTGTGAGTGGAACGCACACATCACCAAGTAGTTTCTGAGAATGAGTTTGTCTAGTTTTCATACGAAGATATTTCCTTTTCTACCATTGTCCTCGAAGAGCTTGAAATCTGCACTAGCAAATTACACAAAAAGAGTGTTTCAAATGTGCTCTCTCTAAAGGAAGGTTCAAATCTCTGAGTTGAATGCACACAACACAAAGAAGTGACTGAGAATACTGCTGTCTAGCATTACAGGAAGAAATCCCGTTTCCAAAGAAGGCCTCAAAGAGGTCCAAATATCCACTTGCAGACTTTACAAATAGAGTGTTTCCAAACTGCTCTATGAAAAGAAAGGTTAAACTCTGTGAGTTGAACACACACATCACAAGGTAGTATCTCAGAATGACACTGTCTAGTTTTTATACAAAGATATTTCCATTTCTAAGACTGGCCTCAAATCCCTAGAAATCTCCATTGGAAATTGCACAAACAGAGTGTTTGAAAACTGCTCTTTCTAAAGGAAGGTTCAACTCTGTTAGTTGAATACACACAACACAAACAAGTTACTGAGAATTCTTCTATCTAGCATTATATGAAGAAATCCCGTTTCCAACGAAGGCCTCAAAGAGGTCCAAATATCCTACTGCAGACTTTACAAAGAGAGTGTTTCCAAACTGCTCAATTAAAAGAAAGGTTAAACTCTGTGAGTGGAACGCACACATCACAAAGTAGTTTCTGAGAATGATTTTGTCTAGTTTTAATACGAAGATATTTCCTTTCTTACCATTGTCCTCGAAGAGCTTGAAATCTGCACTAGCAAATTACACAAAAAGAGTGTTTTAAATGTGCTCTCTGTAAGGGAAGGTTCAAATCTCTGAGTTGAATGCACACAACACAAAGAAGTGACTGGGAATTCTTCTGTCTAGCATTATAGGAGGAAATCCCGTTTCAAACGAAGGCCTCAAAGAGGTCCTAATATCCACTTGCAGACTTTACAAAGACAGCGTTTCCAAACTGCTCTATGAAAAGAAACGTTAGACTCTGTGAGTTGAACGCACACATCACAAACTAGTTTCTGCGAATGATTCTGTGTAGTTTTAATTCAAAGATATTTCCATTTCTAAGATTGGCCTCAAATCCCTTGAAATCTCCACTTGCAAATTCCACAAAAAGAGTGTTTCAAAACTGCTCTGAATAAAGGAAGGTTCAACTCTGTGAGTTGAATGCACACAACTGAAAGTAGTAACTGAGAATTCTTCTGTCGGGCAGTATATGAAGAAATCCCGTTTGCAACGAAGGCCTCACAGAAATCTAAATATCCACTTGCAGACCTTACAGACAGAGTGTTTCCAAACTTCTCTATGAAAAGAAAGGTTAATCTCCGTGAGTTGCACGCACACTCACAAAGTAGATTCTGAGAATGATTCTGTCTAGTTTTTATACGAAGTATATTTCCTTTTCTACCATTGGCCTCAAATCGCTTGAAATCTTTACTTGCAAAAGCCACGAAAAGAGCGTTTCAAATCTGCTCTGTCTAAAGAAAGGTTCAAATCTGTGAGTTGAATACACACAACACAAAGTAGTTACTGAAAATTCTTCGGGCTAGCAGTATATGGAGAAATCCCGTTTCCAAAGCAAGGCCTGAAAGAGGTCCAAATATCCGCTTGCAGACTTTACAAAAAGAGTGTTTCCAAACTGCTCTATGAAAAGAAAGTTTAAAATCTGTGAGTTGAACGCACAAATCACAGAGCAGTTTCTGAGAACTGTTCTGTCTAGTTTTTATACGAAGATATTTCCTTTTCTACAATTGGCCTCAAATCGCTTGAAATCTCCACTTGCAAAAGCAACAAAAGGAGAGTTTCAAATCTGCTCGGTCTAAAGAAAGGTTCAAATCTGTGAATTGAATACACACAACACAAAGTAGTTACTGAAAATGCTTCGGTCTAGCAGTATATGAAGAAATCCCGTTTCCAACGAAGGCCTCAAAAAGGTCCAAATATCTGCTTGCAGACTTTACAAAGAGAGTGCTTCCAACCTGCTCTATGAAAAGAAAGGTTAAACTCTGTGAGTTGAACGCACACATCACAAAGAAGTTTCTGAGAATGATTCTGTTTAGTTTTTATACGAAGATATTTCCTTTTCTACAATTGGCCTCAAATCGCTTGAAATCTCCTCTGGCAAAAGCCACGAAAAGAGAGTATCAAATCTGCTCTGTCTAAAGAAAAGTTCAACTCTGTGAGTTGAATACACACAGCACAAAGAAGTTACTGAGTATTCTTCTGTCTAGCATTATATGAAGAAGTCCCGTTTCCAACGAAGGGCTCAAACAGCTCCAAATATCCACTTGGAGACTTTACAAAGAGAGCGTTTCCAAACTGCTCCATGAAAAGAAACGTTAAACTCTGTGAGTTGAACGCACACATCACAAACTAGTTTCTGCGAACGATTCTGTGTAGTTTTAATTCGAAGATATTTCCATTTCTAAGATTGGCCTCAAATCCCTTGAAATCTCCACTGGCAAATTCCACAAAAAGAGTGTTTCAAAACTGCTCTGAATAAAGGAAGGTTCAACTCCGTGAGTTGAATGCACACAACACAAAGAGTTACTGAGAATTCTTTCTGTCTGTGAGTATATGAAGAAATCCCGTTTGCAACGAAGGCCTCACAGAAATCTAAATATCCACTTGCAGACCTTACAGACAGAGTCTTTCCAAACTGCTCTATGAAAAGAAAGGTTAATCTCCGTGAGTTGCACGCACACATCACAAAGTAATTTCTGAGAATGATTCTCTCTAGTTTTTATACGAAGATATTTCCTTTTCTACCATTGGCCTCAAATCGTTTGAAACCTCCACATGCAAAAGCCACGAGAAGAGCGTTTCAAATCTGCTCTGTCTAAAGAAAGGTTCAAATCTGTGAGTTGAATACACACAACACAAAGTAGTTACTGAAAATGCTTCGGTCTAGCAGTATATGGAGAAATCCCGTTTCCAACGAAGGGCTCAAAGAAGTCCAAATATCCACTTGCAGACTTTACAAAAATAGTGTTTCCAAACTGCTCAATTAAAAGAAAGGTTAAACTCTGTGAGTGGAACGCACACATCACAAAGTAGTTTCTGAGAATGAGTTTGTCTAGTTTTCATACGAAGATATTTCCTTTTCTACCATTGTCCTCGAAGAGCTTGAAATCTGTACTAGCAAATTACACAAATAGAGTGTTTCAAATGTGCTCTCTCTAAAGGAAGGTTCAAATCTCTGAGTTGAATGCACACAACACAAAGAAGTGACTGAGAATACTTCTGTCTAGCATTATAGGAAGAAATCCCGTTTCCAACGAAGGCCTCAAAGAGGTCCAAATATCCACTTGCAGACTTTACAAATAGAGTGTTTCCAAACTGCTCTATGAAAAGAAAGGTTAAACTCTGTGAGTTGAACGCACACATCACAAGGTAGTATCTCAGAATGACACTGTCTAGTTTTTATACAAAGATATTTCCATTTCTAAGACTGGCCTCAAATCCCTAGAAATCTCCATTGGAAATTGCACAAACACAGTGTTTGAAAACTGCTCTTTCTAAAGGAAGGTTCAACTCTGTTAGTTGAATACACACAACACAAACAAGTTACTGAGAATTCTTCTATCTAGCATTATATGAAGAAATCCCGTTTCCAACGAAGGCCTCAAAGAGGTCCAAATATCCTACTGCAGACTTTACAAAGAGAGTGTTTCCAAACTGCTCAATTAAAAGAAAGGTTAAACTCTGTGAGTGGAACGCACACATCACAAAGTAGTTTCTGAGAATGATTTTGTCTAGTTTTAATACGAAGATATTTCCTTTCCTACCATTGTCCTCGAAGAGCTTGAAATCTGCACTAGCAAATTACACAAAAAGAGTGTTTTAAATGTGCTCTCTCTAAAGGAAGGTTCAAATCTCTGAGTTGAATGCACACAACACAAAGAAGTGACTGGGAATTCTTCTGTCCAGCATTATAAGAGGAAATACCGTTTCCAACGAAGGCCTCAAAGAGGTCCTAATATCCACTTGCAGACTTTACAAAGACAGCGTTTCCAAACTGCTCTATGAAAAGAAACGTTAAACTCTGTGAGTTGAACGCACACATCACAAACTTGTTTCTGCGAATGATTCTGTGTAGTTTTAATTCGAAGATATTTCCATTTCTAACATTGGCCTCAAATCCCTTGAAATCTCCACTTGCAAATTCCACAAAAAGAGTGTTTCAAAACTGCTCTGAATAAAGGAAGGTTCAACTCTGTGAGTTGAATGCACACAACAGAAAGTAGTAACTGAGAATTCTTCTGTCGGATAGTATATGAAGAAATCCCGTTTGCAACGAAGGCCTCACAGAAATCTAAATATCCACTTGCAAACCTTACAGACAGAGTGTTTCCAAACTTCTCTATGAAAAGAAAGGTTAATCTCCGTGAGTTGCACGCACACATCACAAAGTAGATTCTGAGAATGATTCTGTCTAGTTTTTATACGAAGATATTTCCTTTTCTACCATTGGCCTCAAATCGCTTGAAATCTTTACTTGCAAAAGCCACGAAAAGAGCGTTTCAAATCTGCTCTGTCTAAAGAAAGGTTCAAATCTGTGAGTTGAATACACACAACACAAAGTAGTTACTGAAAATTCTTCGGGCTAGCAGTATATGGAGAAATCCCGTTTGCAAAGAAGGCCTGAAAGAGGTCCAAATATCCGCTTGCAGACTTTACAAAAAGAGTGTTTCCAAACTGCTCTATGAAAAGAAAGTTTAAAATCTGTGAGTTGAACGCACAAATCACAGAGCAGTTTCTGAGAATTGTTCTGTCTAGTTTTTATACGAAGATATTTCCTTTTCTACAATTAGCCTCAAATCGCTTGAAATCTCCACTTGCAAAAGCAACGAAAGGAGAGTTTCAAATCTGCTCGGTCTAAAGAAAGGTTCAACTCTGTGAATTGAATACACACAACCCAAAGAAGTTACTGAGAATTCTTCGGTCTAGCAGTATATGAAGAAATCCCGTTTCCAACGAAGGCCTCAAAAAGGTCCAAATATCTGCTTGCAGACTTTACAAAGAGAGTGCTTCCAACCTGCTCTATGAAAAGAAAGGTTAAACTCTGTGAGTTGAACGCACACATCACAAAGAAGTTTCTGAGAACGATTCTGTTTAGTTATTATACGAAGATATTTTCTTTTCTACCATTGGCCTCCAATGACTTGAAATCTCCTCTGGCAAAACCCACGAAAAGAGAGTATCAAATCTGCTCTGTCTAAAGAAAATTTCAACTCTGTGAGTTGAATACACACAGCACAAAGAAGTTACTGAGTATTCTTCTGTCTAGCATTATATGAAGAAGTCCCGTTTCCAACGAAGGGCTCAAAGAGCTCCAAATATCCTCTTGGAGACTTTACAAAGAGAGCGTTTCCAAACTGCTCTATGAAAAGAAACGTTAAACTCTGTGAGTTGAACGCACACATCACAAACTAGTTTCTGCGAACGATTCTGTGTAGTTTTAATTCGAAGATATTTACAATTCTAAGATTGGCCTCAAATCCCTTGAAATCTCCACTTGCAAATTCCACAAAAAGAGTGTTTCAAAACTGCTCTGAATAAAGGAAGGTTCAACTCCGTGAGTTGAATGCACACAACACAAAGAGTTACTGAGAATTCTTCTGTCTGTGAGTATATGAAGTAATCCCGTTTGCAACGAAGGCCTCACAGAAATCTAAATATCCACTTGCAGACCTTACAGACAGAGTCTTTCCAAACTGCTCTATGAAAAGAAAGGTTAATCTCCGTGAGTTGCACGCACACATCAGAAAGTAAATTCTGAGAATGATTCTCTCTAGTTTTTGTACGAAGATATTTCCTTTTCTACCATTGGCCTCAAATCGTTTGAAACCTCCACATGCAAAAGCCACGAAAAGAGCGTTTCAAATCTGCTCTGTCTAAAGAAAGGTTCAAATCTGTGAGTTGAATACACACAACACAAAGTAGTTACTGAAAATGCTTCGGTCTAGCAGTATATGGAGAAATCCCGTTTCCAACGAAGGGCTCAAAGAAGTCCAAATATCCACTTGCAGACTTTACAAAAATAGTGTTTCCAAACTGCTCAATTAAAAGAAAGGTTAAACTCTGTGAGTGGAACGCACACATCACAAAGTAGTTTCTGAGAATGAGTTTGTCTAGTTTTCATACGAAGATATTTCCTTTTCTACCATTGTCCTCGAAGAGCTTGAAATCTGCACTAGCAAATTACACAAAAAGAGTGTTTCAAATATGCTCTCTCTAAAGGAAGGTTCAAATCTCTGAGTTGAATGCACACAACACAAAGAAGTGACTGAGAATACTTCTGTCTAGCATTATAGGAAGAAATCCCGTTTCCAACGAAGGCCTCAAAGAGGTCCAAATATCCACTTGCAGACTTTACAAATAGAGTGTTTCCAAACTGCTCTATGAAAAGAAAGGTTAAACTCTGTGAGTTGAACGCACACATCACAAGGTAGTATCTCAGAATGACACTGTCTAGTTTTTATACAAAGATATTTCCATTTCTAAGACTGGCCTCAAATCCCTAGAAATCTCCATTGGAAATTGCACAAACAGAGTGTTTGAAAACTGCTCTTTCTAAAGGAAGGTTCAACTCTGTTAGTTGAATACACACAACACAAGCAAGTTACTGAGAATTCTTCTATCTAGCATTATATGAAGAAATCCCGTTTCCAACGAAGGCCTCAAAGAGGTCCAAATATCCTACTGCAGGCTTTACAAAGAGAGTGTTTCCAAACTGCTCAATTAAAAGAAAGGTTAAACTCTGTGAGTGGAACGCACACATCACGAAGTAGTTTCTGAGAATGATTTTGTCTAGTTTTAATACGAAGATATTTCCTTTCCTACCATTGTCCTCGAAGAGCTTGAAATCTGCACTAGCAAATTACACAAAAAGAGTGTTTTAAATGTGCTCTCTCTAAAGGA
Organism: Homo sapiens; assembly: GCF_000001405.40. Taxonomy (NCBI): domain Eukaryota; kingdom Metazoa; phylum Chordata; class Mammalia; order Primates; family Hominidae; genus Homo; species Homo sapiens. The sequence continues at coordinate 39,741,451 of NC_000010.11, read as the reverse complement.
AGGTTCAAATCTCTGAGTTGAATGGACACAACACAAAGAAGTGACTGGGAATTCTTCTGTCTAGCATTATAGGAGGAAATCCCGTTTCCAACGAAGGCCTCAAAGAGGTCCTAATATCCACTTGCAGACTTTACAAAGACAGCGTTTCCAAACTGCTCTATGAAAAGAAACGTTAAACTCTGTGAGTTGAACGCACACATCACAAACTAGTTTCTGCGAATGATTCTGTGTAGTTTTAATTCGATGATATTTCCATTTCTAAGATTGGCCTCAAATCCCTTGAAATCTCCACTTGCAAATTCCACAAAAAGAGTGTTTCAAAACTGCTCTGAATAAAGGAAGGTTCAACTCTTTGAGTTGAATGCACACAACAGAAAGTAGTAACTGAGAATTCTTCTGTCTGTGAGTATATGAAGAAATCCCGTTTGCAACGAAGGCCTCACAGAAATCTAAATATCCACTTGCAGACCTTACAGACAGAGTGTTTCCAAACTTCTCTATGAAAAGAAAGGTTAATCTCCGTGAGTTGCACGCACACATCACAAAGTAGATTCTGAGAATGATTCTGTCTAGTTTTTATACGAAGATATTTCCTTTTCTACCATTGGCCTCAAATCGCTTGAAATCTTTACTTGCAAAAGCCACGAAAAGAGCGTATCAAATCTGCTCTGTCTAAAGAAAGGTTCAAATCTGTGAGTTGAATACACACAACACAAAGTAGTTACTGAAAATGCTTCGGGCTAGCAGTATATGGAGAAATCCCGTTTCCAAAGAAGGCCTGAAAGAGGTCCAAATATCCGCTTGCAGACTTTACAAAAAGAGTGTTTCCAAACTGCTCTATGAAAAGAAAGTTTAAAATCTGTGAGTTGAACGCACAAATCACAGAGCAGTTTCTGAGAATTGTTCTGTCTAGTTTTTATACGAAGATATTTCCTTTTCTACAATTGGCCTCAAATCGCTTGAAATCTCCACTTGCAAAAGCAACGAAAGGAGAGTTTCAAATCTGCTCGGTCTAAAGAAAGGTTCAACTCTGTGAATTGAATACACACAACCCAAAGAAGTTACTGAGAATTCTTCGGTCTAGCAGTATATGAAAAAATCCCGTTTCCAACGAAGGCCTCAAAAAGGTCCAAATATCTGCTTGCAGACTTTACAAAGAGAGTGCTTCCAACCTGCTCTATGAAAAGAAAGGTTAAACTCTGTGACTTGAACGCACACATCACAAAGAAGTTTCTGAGAATGATACTGTTTAGTTATTATACGAAGATATTTTCTTTTCTACCATTGGCCTCCAATGACTTGAAATCTCCTCTGGCAAAAGCCACGAAAAGAGAGTATCAAATCTGCTCTGTCTAAAGAAAACTTCAACTCTGTGAGTTGAATACACACAGCACAAAGAAGTTACTGAGTATTCTTCTGTCTAGCATTATATGAAGAAGTCCCGTTTCCAACGAAGGGCTCAAACAGCTCCAAATATCCACTTGGAGACTTTACAAAGAGAGCGTTTCCAAACTGCTCTATGAAAAGAAACGTTAAACTCTGTGAGTTGAACGCACACATCACAAACTAGTTTCTGTGAACGATTCTGTGTAGTTTTAATTCGAAGATATTTCCATTTCTAAGATTGGCCTCAAATCCCTTGAAATCTCCACTTGCAAATTCCACAAAAAGAGTGTTTCAAAACTGCTCTGAATAAAGGAAGGTTCAACTCCGTGAGTTGAATGCACACAACACAAAGAGTTACTGAGAATTCTTCTGTCTGTGAGTATATGAAGAAATCCCGTTTGCAACGAAGGCCTCCCAGAAATCTAAATATCCACTTGCAGACCTTACAGACAGAGTCTTTCCAAACTGCTCTATGAAAAGAAAGGTTAATCTCCGTGAGTTGCACGCACACATCAGAAAGTAATTTCTGAGAATGATTCTCTCTAATTTTTATACGAAGATATTTCCTTTTCTACCATTGGCCTCAAATCGTTTGAAAACTCCACATGCAAAAGCCACGAAAAGAGCGTTTCAAATCTGCTCTGTCTAAAGAAAGGTTCAAATCTGTGAGTTGAATACACACAACACAAAGTAGTTACTGCAAATGCTTCGGTCTAGCAGTATATGGAGAAATCCCGTTTCCAACGAAGGGCTCAAAGAAGTCCAAATATCCACTTGCAGACTTTACAAAAATAGTGTTTCCAAACTGCTCAATTAAAAGAAAGGTTAAACTCTGTGAGTGGAACGCACACATCACAAAGTAGTTTCTGAGAATGAGTTTGTCTAGTTTTCATACGAAGATATTTCCTTTTCTACCATTGTCCTCGAAGAGCTTGAAATCTGCACTAGCAAATTACACAAAAAGAGTGTTTCAAATGTGCTCTCTCTAAAGGAAGGTTCAAATCTCTGAGTTGAATGCACACAACACAAAGAAGTGACTGAGAATACTTCTGTCTAGCATTATAGGAAGAAATCCCGTTTCCAACGAAGGCCTCAAAGAGGTCCAAATATCCACTTGCAGACTTTACAAATAGAGTGTTTCCAAACTGCTCTATGAAAAGAAAGGTTAAACTCTGTGAGTTGAACGCACACATCACAAGGTAGTATCTCAGAATGACACTGTCTAGTTTTTATACAAAGATATTTCCATTTCTAAGACTGGCCTCAAATCCCTAGAAATCTCCATTGGAAATTGCACAAACAGAGTGTTTGAAAACTGCTCTTTCTAAAGGAAGGTTCAACTCTGTTAGTTGAATACACACAACACAAACAAGTTACTGAGAATTCTTCTATCTAGCATTATATGAAGAAATCCCGTTTCCAACGAAGGCCTCAAAGAGGTCCAAATATCCTACTGCAGACTTTACAAAGAGAGTGTTTCCAAACTGCTCAATTAAAAGAAAGGTTAAACTCTGTGAGTGGAACGCACACATCACAAAGTAGTTTCTGAGAATGATTTTGTCTAGTTTTAATACGAAGATATTTCCTTTCCTACCATTGTCCTCGAAGAGCTTGAAATCTGCACTAGCAAATTACACAAAAAGAGTGTTTCAAATGTGCTCTCTCTAAAGGAAGGTTCAAATCTCTGAGTTGAATGCACACAACAGAAAGAAGTGACTGAGAATACTTCTGTCTAGCATTATAGGAGGAAATCCCGTTTCCAACGAAGGCCTCAAAGAGGTCCTAATATCCACTTGCAGACCTTACAAAGACAGCGTTTCCAAACTGCTCTATGAAAAGAAACGTTAAACTCTGTGAGTTGAACGCACACATCACAAACTAGTTTCTGCGAATGATTCTGTGTAGTTTTAATTCGAAGATATTTCCATTTCTAAGATTGGCCTCAAATCCCTTGAAATCTCCAGTTGCAAATTCCACAAAAAGAGTGTTTCAAAACTGCTCTGAATAAAGGAAGGTTCAACTCTGTGAGTTGAATGCACACAACACAAAGTAGTTACTGAGAATTCTTCTGTCGGGCAGTATTTGAAGAAATCCCGTTTGCAACGAAGGCCTCACAGAAATCTAAATATCCACTTGCAGACCTTACAGACAGAGTGTTTCCAAACCTCTCTATGAAAAGAAAGGTTAATCTCCGTGAGTTGCACGCACACATCACAAAGTAGATTCTGAGAATGATTCTGTCTAGTTTTTATACGAAGATATTTCCTTTTCTACCATTGGCCTCAAATCGCTTGAAATCTTTACTTGCAAAAGCCACGAAAAGAGCGTTTCAAATCTGCTCTGTCTAAAGAAAGGTTCAAATCTGTGAGTTGAATACACACAACACAAAGTAGTTACTGAAAATTCTTCGGGCTAGCAGTATATGGAGAAATCCCGTTTCCAAAGAAGGCCTGAAAGAGGTCCAAATATCCGCTTGCAGACTTTACAAAAAGAGTGTTTCCAAACTGCTCTATGAAAAGAAAGTTTAAAATCTGTGAGTTGAACGCACAAATCACAGAGCAGTTTCTGAGAATTGTTCTGTCTAGTTTTTATACGAAGATATTTCCTTTTCCACAATTGGCCTCAAATCGCTTGAAATCTCCACTTGCAAAAGCAACGAAAGGAGAGTTTCAAATCTGCTCGGTCTAAAGAAAGGTTCAACTCTGTGAATTGAATACACACAACCCAAAGAAGTTACTGAGAATTCTTCGGTCTAGCAGTATATGAAGAAATCCCGTTTCCAACGAAGGCCTCAGAAAGGTCCAAATATCTGCTTGCAGACTTTACAAAGAGAGTGCTTCCAACCTGCTCTATGAAAAGAAAGGTTAAACTCTGTGAGTTGAACGCACACATCACAAAGAAGTTTCTGAGAATGATTCTGTTTAGTTATTATACGAAGATATTTTCTTTTCTACCATTGGCCTCCAATGACTTGAAATCTCCTCTGGCAAAAGCCACGAAAAGAGAGTATCAAATCTGCTCTGTCTAAAGAAAAGTTCAACTCTGTGAGTTGAATACACACAGCACAAAGAAGTTACTGAGTATTCTTCTGTCTAGCATTATATGAAGAAGTCCCGTTTCCAACGAAGGGCTCAAACAGCTCCAAATATCCACTTGGAGACTTTACAAAGAGAGCGTTTCCAAACTGCTCTATGAAAAGAAACGTTAAACTCTGTGAGTTGAACGCACACATCACAAACTAGTTTCTGCGAATGATTCTGTGTAGTTTTAATTCGAAGATATTTCCATTTCTAAGATTGGCCTCAAATCCCTTGAAATCTCGACTTGCAAATTCCACAAAAAGAGTGTTTCAAAACTGCTCCGAATAAAGGAAGGTTCAACTCCGTGAGTTGAATGCACACAACACAAATAGTTACTGAGAATTCTTCTGTCTGTGAGTATATGAAGAAATCCCGTTTGCAACGAAGGCCTCACAGAAATCTAAATATCCACTTGCAGACCTTACAGACAGAGTCTTTCCAAACTGCTCTATGAAAAGAAAGGTTAATCTCCGTGAGTTGCACGCACACATCAGAAAGTAATTGCTGAGAATGATTCTCTCTAGTTTTTATACGAAGATATTTCCTTTTCTACTATTGGCCTCAAATCGTTTGAAACCTCCACATGCAAAAGCCACGAAAAGAGCGTTTCAAATCTGCTCTGTCTAAAGAAAGGTTCAAATCTGTGAGTTGAATACACACAACACAAAGTAGTTACTGAAAATGCTTCGGTCTAGCAGTATATGGAGAAATCCCGTTTCCAACGAAGGGCTCAAAGAAGTCCAAATATCCACTTGCAGACTTTACAAAAATAGTGTTTCCAAACTGCTCAATTAAAAGAAAGGTTAAACTCTGTGAGTGGAACGCACACATCACAAAGTAGTTTCTGAGAATGAGTTTGTCTAGTTTTCATACGAAGATATTTCCTTTTCTACCATTGTCCTCGAAGAGCTTGAAATCTGCACTAGCAAATTACACAAAAAGAGTGTTTTAAATGTGCTCTCTCTAAAGGAAGGTTCAAATCTCTGAGTTGAATGCACACAACACAAAGAAGTGACTGAGAATTCTTCTGTCTAGCATTATAGGAAGAAATCGCGTTTCCAACGAAGGCCTCAAAGAGGTCCAAATACCCACTTGCAGACTTTACAAATAGAGTGTTTCCAAACTGCTCTATGAAAAGAAAGGTTAAACTCTGTGAGTTGAACGCACACATCACAAGGTAGTATCTCAGAATGACACTGTCTAGTTTTTATACAAAGATATTTCCATTTCTAAGACTGGCCTCAAATCCCGAGAAATCTCCATTGGAAATTGCACAAACAGAGTGTTTGAAAACTGCTCTTTCTAAAGGAAGGTTCAACTCTGTTAGTTGAATACACACAACACAAACAAGTTACTGAGAATTCTTCTATCTAGCATTATATGAAGAAATCCCGTTTCCAACGAAGTCCTCAAAGAGGTCCAAATATCCTACTGCAGGCTTTACCAAGAGAGTGTTTCCAAACTGCTCAATTAAAAGAAAGGTTAAACTCTGTGAGTGGAACGCACACATCACAAAGTAGTTTCTGAGAATGATTTTGTCTAGTTTTAATACGAAGATATTTCCTTTCCTACCATTGTCCTCGAAGAGCTTGAAATCTGCACTAGCAAATTACACAAAAAGAGTGTTTCAAATGTGCTCTCTCTAAAGGAAGGTTCAAATCTCTGAGTTGAATGCACACAACACAAAGAAGTGACTGGGAATTCTTCTGTCTAGCATTATAGGAGGAAATCCCGTTTCCAACGAAGGCCTCAAAGAGGTCCTAATATCCACTTGCAGACTTTACAAAGACAGCGTTTCCAAACTGCTCTATGAAAAGAAACGTTAAACTCTGTGAGTTGAACGCACACATCACAAACTAGTTTCTGCGAATGATTCTGTGTAGTTTTAATTCGAAGATATTTCCATTTCTAAGATTGGCCTCAAATCCCTTGAAATCTCCACTTGCAAATTCCACAAAAAGAGTGTTTCAAAACTGCTCTGAATAAAGGAAGGTTCAACTCTGTGAGTTGAATGCACACAGCAGAAAGTAGTAACTGAGAATTCTTCTGTCGGGCAGTATATGAAGAAATCCCGTTTGCAACGAAGGCCTCACAGAAATCTAAATATCCACTTGCAGACCTTACAGACAGAGTGTTTCCAAACTTCTCTATGAAAAGAAAGGTTAATCTCCGTGAGTTGCACGCACACATCGCAAAGTAGATTCTGAGAATGATTCTGTCTAGTTTTTATACGAAGATATTTCCTTTTCTACCATTGGCCTCAAATCGCTTGAAATCTTTACTTGCAAAAGCCACGAAAAGAGCGTTTCAAATCTGCTCTGTCTAAAGAAAGGTTCAAATCTGTGAGTTGAATACACACAACACAAAGTAGTTACTGAAAATGCTTCGGGCTAGCAGTATATGGAGAAATCCCGTTTCCAAAGAAGGCCTGAAAGAGGTCCAAATATCCGCTTGCAGACTTTACAAAAAGAGTGTTTCCAAACTGCTCTATGAAAAGAAAGTTTAAAATCTGTGAGTTGAACGCACAAATCACAGAGCAGTTTCTGAGAATTGTTCTGTCTAGTTTTTATACGAAGATATTTCCTTTTCTACAATTGGCCTCAAAACGTTTGAAATCTCCACTTGCAAAAGCAACGAAAGGAGAGTTTCAAATCTGCTCGGTCTAAAGAAAGGTTCAACTCTGTGAATTGAATACACACAACCCAAAGAAGTTACTGAGAATTCTTCGGTCTAGCAGTATATGAAGAAATCCCGTTTCCAACGAAGGCCTCAAAAAGGTCCAAATATCTGCTTGCAGACTTTACAAAGAGAGTGCTTCCAACCTGCTCTATGAAAAGAAAGGTTAAACTCTGTGAGTTGAACGCACACATCACAAAGAAGTTTCTGAGAATGATTCTGTTTAGTTATTATACGAAGATATTTTCTTTTCTACCATTGGCCTCCAATGACTTGAAATCTCCTCTGGCAAAAGCCACGAAAAGAGATTATCAAATCTGCTCTGTCTAAAGAAAAGTTCAACTCTGTGAGTTGAATACACACAGCAAAAAGAAGTTACTGAGTATTCTTCTGTCTAGCATTATATGAAGAAGTCCCGTTTCCAACGAAGGGCTCAAACAGCTCCAAATATCCACTTGGAGACTTTACAAAGAGAGCGTTTCCAAACTGCTCTATGAAAAGAAACGTTAAACTCTGTGAGTTGAACGCACACATCACAAACTAGTTTCTGCGAACGATTCTGTGTAGTTTTAATTCGAAGATATTTCCATTTCTAAGATTGGCCTCAAATCCCTTGAAATCTCCACTTGCAAATTCCACAAAAAGAGTGTTTCAAAACTGCTCTGAATAAAGGAAGGTTCAACTCCGTGAGTTGAATGCACACAACACAAAGAGTTACTGAGAATTCTTCTGTCTGTGAGTATATGAAGAAATCCCGTTTGCAACGAAGGCCTCACAGAAATCTAAATATCCACTTGCAGACCTTACAGACAGAGTCTTTCCAAACTGCTCTATGAAAAGAAAGGTTAATCTCCGTGAGTTGCACGCACACATCAGAAAGTAATTTCTGAGAATGATTCTCTCTAGTTTTTATACGAAGATATTTCCTTTTCTACCATTGGCCTCAAATCGTTTGAAACCTCCACATGCAAAAGCCACGAAAAGAGCGTTTCAAATCTGCTCTGTCTAAAGAAAGGTTCAAATCTGTGAGTTGAATACACACAACACAAAGTAGTTACTGAAAATGCTTCAGTCTAGCAGTATATGGAGAAATCCCGTTTCCAACGAAGGGCTCAAAGAAGTCCAAATATCCACTTGCAGACTTTACAAAAATAGTGTTTCCAAACTGCTCAATTAAAAGAAAGGTTAAACTCTGTGAGTGGAACGCACACATCACAAAGTAGTTTCTGAGAATGAGTTTGTCTTGTTTTCATACGAAGATATTTCCTTTTCTACCATTGTCCTCGAAGAGCTTGAAATCTGCACTAGCAAATTACACAAAAAGAGTGTTTCAAATGTGCTCTCTCTAAAGGAAGGTTCAAATCTCTGAGTTGAATGCACACAACACAAAGAAGTGACTGAGAATACTTCTGTCTAGCATTATAGGAAGAAATCCTGTTTCTAACGAAGGCCTCAAAGAGGTCCAAATATCCAATTGCAGACTTTACAAATAGAGTGTTTCCAAACTGCTCTATGAAAAGAAAGGTTAAACTCTGTGAGTTGAACGCACACATCACAAGGTAGTATCTCAGAATGACACTGTCTAGTTTTTATACAAAGATATTTCCATTTCTAAGACTGGCATCAAATCCCTAGAAATCTCCATTGGAAATTGCACAAACAGAGTGTTTGAAAACTGCTCTTTCTAAAGGAAGGTTCAACTCTGTTAGTTGAATACACACAACACAAAAAAGTTACTGAGAATTCTTCTATCTAGCATTATATGAAGAAATCCCGTTTCCAACGAAGGCCTCAAAGAGGTCCAAATATCCTACTGCAGGCTTTACAAAGAGAGTGTTTCCAAACTGCTCAATTAAAAGAAAGGTTAAACTCTGTGAGTGGAACGCACACATCACAAAGTAGTTTGCTGAGAATGATTTTGTCTAGTTTTCATACGAAGATATTTCCTTTCCTACCATTGTCCTCGAAGAGCTTGAAATCTGCACTAGCAAATTACACAAAAAGAGTGTTTTAAATGTGCTCTCTCTAAAGGAAGGTTCAAATCTCTGAGTTGAATGCACACAACACAAAGAAGTGACTGGGAATTCTTCTGTCTAGCATTATAGGAGGAAATCCCGTTTCCAACGAAGGCCTCTAAGAGGTCCTAATATCCACTTGCAGACTTTACAAAGACAGCGTTTCCAAACTGCTCTATGAAAAGAAACGTTAAACTCTGTGAGTTGAACGCACACATCACAAACTAGTTTCTGCGAATGATTCTGTGTAGTTTTAATTCGAAGATATTTACATTTCTAAGATTGGCCTCAAATCCCTTGAAATCTCCACTTGCAAATTCCACAAAAAGAGTGTTTCAAAACTGCTCTGAATAAAGGAAGATTCAACTCTGTGAGTTGAATGCACACAACAGAAAGTAGTAACTGAGAATTCTTCTGTCGGGCAGTATATGAAGAAATCCCGTTTGCAACGAAGGCCTCACAGAAATCTAAATATCCACTTGCAGACCTTACAGACAGAGTGTTTCCAAACTTCTCTATGAAAAGAAAGGTTAATCTCCGTGAGTTGCACGCACACATCACAAAGTAGATTCTGAGAATGATTCTGTCTAGTTTTTATACGAAGATATTTCCTTTTCTACCATTGGCCTCAAATCGCTTGAAATCTTTACTTGCAAAAGCCACGAAAAGAGCGTTTCAAATCTGCTCTGTCTAAAGAAAGGTTCAAATCTGTGAGTTGAATACACACAACACAAAGTAGTTACTGAAAATGCTTCGGGCTAGCAGTATATGGAGAAATCCCGTTTCCAAAGAAGGCCTGAAAGAGGTCCAAATATCCGCTTGCAGACTTTACAAAAAGAGTGTTTCCAATCTGCTCTATGAAAAGAAAGTTTAAAATCTGTGAGTTGAACGCACAAATCACAGAGCAGTTTCTGAGAATTGTTCTGTCTAGTTTTTATACGAACATATTTCCTTTTCTACAATTGGCCTCAAATCGCTTGAAATCTCCACTTGCAAAAGCAACGAAAGGAGAGTTTCAAATCTGCTCGGTCTAAAGAAAGGTTCAACTCTGTGAATTGAATACACACAACCCAAAGAAGTTACTGAGAATTCTTCGGTCTAGCAGTATATGAAGAAATCCCGTTTCCAACGAAGGCCTCAAAAAGTCCAAATATCTGCATGCAGACTTTACAAAGAGAGTGCTTCCAACCTGCTCTATGAAAAGAAAGGTTAAACTCTGTGAGTTGAACGCACACATCACAAAGAAGTTTCTGAGAATGATTCTGTTTAGTTATTATACGAAGATATTTTCTTTTCTACCATTGGCCTCCAATGACTTGAAATCTCCTCTGGCAAAAGCCACGAAAAGAGACTATCAAATCTGCTCTGTCTAAAGAAAACTTCAACTCTGTGAGTTGAATACACACAGCACAAAGAAGTTACTGAGTATTCTTCTGTCTAGCATTATATGAAGAAGTCCCGTTTCCAACGAAGGGCTCAAACAGCTCCAAATATCCACTTGGAGACTTTACAAAGAGAGCGTTTCCAAACTGCTCTATGAAAAGAAACGTTAAACTCTGTGAGTTGAACACACACATCACAAACTAGTTTCTGCGAACGATTTCTGTGTAGTTTTAATTCGAAGATATTTCCATTTCTAAGATTGGCCTCAAATCCCTTGAAATCTCCACTTGCAAATTCCACAAAAAGAGTGTTTCAAAACTGCTCTGAATAAAGGAAGGTTCAACTCCATGAGTTGAATGCACACAACACAAAGAGTTACTGAGAATTCTTCTGTCTGTGAGTATATGAAGAAATCCCGTTTGCAACGAAGGCCTCCCAGAAATCTAAATATCCACTTGCAGACCTTACAGACAGAGTCTTTCCAAACTGCTCTATGAAAAGAAAGGTTAATCTCCGTGAGTTGCACGCACACATCAGAAAGTAATTTCTGAGAATGATTCTCTCTAGTTTTTATACGAAGATATTTCCTTTTCTACCATTGGCCTCAAATCGTTTGAAACCTCCACATGCAAAAGCCACGAAAAGAGCGTTTCAAATCTGCTCTGTCTAAAGAAAGGTTCAAATCTGTGAGTTGAATACACACAACACAAAGTAGTTACTGAAAATGCTTCGGTCTAGCAGTATATGGAGAAATCCCGTTTCCAACGAAGGGCTCAAAGAAGTCCAAATATCCACTTGCAGACTTTACAAAAATAGTGTTTCCAAACTGCTCAATTAAAAGAAAGGTTAAACTCTGTGAGTGGAACGCACACATCACAAAGTAGTTTCTGAGAATGAGTTTGTCTAGTTTTCATACGAAGATATTTCCTTTTCTACCATTGTCCTCGAAGAGCTTGAAATCTGCACTAGCAAATAACACAAAAAGAGTGTTTCAAATGTGCTCTCTCTAAAGGAAGGTTCAAATCTCTGAGTTGAATGCACAAAACACAAAGAAGTGACTCACAATACTTCTGTCTAGCATTATAGGAAGAAATCCCGTTTCCAACGAAGGCCTCAAAGAGGTCCAAATATCCACTTGCAGACTTTACAAATAGAGTGTTTCCAAACTGCTCTATGAAAAGAAAGGTTAAACTCTGTGATTTGAACGCACACATCACAAGGTAGTATCTCAGAATGACACTGTCTAGTTTTTATACAAAGATATTTCCATTTCTAAGACTGGCCTCAAATCCCTAGAAATCTCCATTGGAAATTGCACAAACAGAGTGTTTGAAAACTGCTCTTTCTAAAGGAAGGTTCAACTCTGTTAGTTGAATACACACAACACAAACAAGTTACTGAGAATTCTTCTATCTAGCATTATAGGAGGAAATCCCGTTTCCAACGAAGGCCTCAAAGAGGTCCAAATATCCTACTGCAGACTTTACAAAGAGAGTGTTTCCAAACTGCTCAATTAAAAGAAAGGTTAAACTCTGTGAGTGGAACGCACACATCACAAAGTAGTTTCTGAGAATGATTTTGTCTAGTTTTCATACGAAGATATTTCCTTTCCTACAATTGTCCTCGAAGAGCTTGAAATCTGCACTAGCAAATTACACAAAAAGAGTGTTATAAATGTGCTCTCTCTAAGGAAGGTTCAAATCTCTGAGTTGAATGCACACAACACAAAGAAGTGACTGGGAATTCTTCTGTCTAGCATTATAGGAGGAAATCCCGTTTCCAACGAAGGCCTCAAAGAGGTCCTAATATCCACTTGCAGACTTTACAAAGACAGCGTTTCCAAACTGCTCTATGAAAAGAAAGGTTAAACTCTGTGAGTTGAACGCACACATCACAAACTAGTTTCTGCGAATGATTCTGTGTAGTTTTAATTCGAAGATATTTCCATTTCTAAGATTGGCCTCAAATCCCTTGAAATCTCCACTTGCAAATTCCACAAAAAGAGTGTTTCAAAACTGCTCTGAATAAAGGAAGGTTCAACTCTGTGTGTTGAATTTACACAACACAAAGTAGTTACTGAGAATTCTTCTGTCTGTGAGTATATGAAGAAATCCCGTTTGCAACGAAGGCCTCACAGAAATCTAAATATCCACTTGCAGACCTTACAGACAGAGTCTTTCCAAACTGCTCTATGAAAAGAAAGGTTAATCTCCGTGAGTTGCACGCACACATCACAAAGTAGATTCTGAGAATGATTCTCTCTAGTTTTTATACGAAGATATTTCCTTTTCTACCATTGGCCTCAAATCGTTTGAAACCTCCACATGCAAAAGCCACGAAAAGAGCGTTTCAAATCTGCTCTGTCGAAAGAAAGGTTCAAATCTGTGAGTTGAATACACACAACACAAAGTAGTTACTGAAAATGCTTCAGTCTAGCAGTATATGGAGAAATCCCGTTTCCAACGAAGGGCTCAAAGAAGTCCAAATATCCACTTGCAGACTTTACAAAAATAGTGTTTCCAAACTGCTCAATTAAATGAAAGGTTAAACTCTGTGAGTGGAACGCACACATCACAAAGTAGTTTCTGAGAATGATTTTGTCTAGTTTTCATACGAAGATATTTCCTTTTCTACCATTGTCCTCGAAGAGCTTGAAATCTGTACTAGCAAATTACACAAATAGAGTGTTTCAAATGTGCTCTCTCTAAAGGAAGGTTCAAATCTCTGAGTTGAATGCACACAACACAAAGAAGTGACTGAGAATACTTCTGTCTAGCATTATAGGAAGAAATCCCGTTTCCAACGAAGGCCTCAAAGAGGTCCAAATATCCACTTGCAGACTTTACAAATAGAGTGTTTCCAAACTGCTCTGTGAAAAGAAAGGTTAAACTCTGTGAGTTGAACGCACACATCACAAGGTAGTATCTCAGAATGACACTGTCTAGTTTTTATACAAAGATATTTCCATTTCTAAGACTGGCCTCAAATCCCTAGAAATCTCCATTGGAAATTGCACAAACAGAGTGTTTGAAAACTGCTCTTTCTAAAGGAAGGTTCAACTCTGTTAGTTGAATACACACAACACAAACAAGTTACTGAGAATTCTTCTATCTAGCATTATATGAAGAAATCCCGTTTCCAACGAAGGCCTCAAAGAGGTCCAAATATCCTACTGCAGACTTTACAAAGAGAGTGTTTCCAAACTGCTCAATTAAAAGAAAGGTTAAAGTCTGTGAGTGGAACGCACACATCACAAAGTAGTTTCTGAGAATGATTTTGTCTAGTTTTAATACAAAGATATTTCCTTTCCTACCATTGTCCTCGAAGAGCTTGAAATCTGCACTAGCAAATTACACAAAAAGAGTGTTTCAAATGTGCTCTCTCTAAAGGAAGGTTCAAATCTCTGAGTTGAATGCACACAACACAAAGAAGTGACTGGGAATTCTTCTGTCTAGCATTATAGGAGGAAATCCCGTTTCCAACGAAGGCCTCAAAGAGGTCCTAATATCCACTTGCAGACTTTACAAAGACAGCGTTTCCAAACTGCTCTATGAAAAGAAACGTTAAACTCTGTGAGTTGAACGCACACATCACAAACTAGTTTCTGCGAATGATTCTGTGTAGTTTTAATTCGAAGATATTTCCATTTCTAAGATTGGCCTCAAATCCCTTGAAATCTTCACTTGCAAATTCCACAAAAAGAGTGTTTCAAAACTGCTCTGAATATAGGAAGGTTCAACTCTGTGAGTTGAATGCACACAACAGAAAGTAGTAACAGAATTCTTCTGTCGGGCAGTATATGAAGAAATCCCGTTTGCAACGAAGGCCTCACAGAAATCTAAATATCCACTTGCAGACCTTACAGACAGACTCTTTCCAAACTTCTCTATGAAAAGAAAGGTTAATCTCCGTGAGTTGCACGCACACATCACAAAGTAGATTCTGAGAACGATTCTGTCTAGTTTTTATACGAAGATATTTCCTTTTCTACCATTGGCCTCAAATCGCTTGAAATCTTTACTTGCAAAAGCCACGAAAAGAGCGTTTCAAATCTGCTCTGTCTAAAGAAAGGTTCAAATCTGTGAGTTGAATACACACAACACAAAGTAGTTACTGAAAATTCTTCGGGCTAGCAGTATATGGAGAAATCCCGTTTCCAAAGAAGGCCTGAAAGAGGTCCAAATATCCGCTTGCAGACTTTACAAAAAGAGTGTTTCCAAACTGCTCTATGAAAAGAAAGTTTAAAATCTGTGAGTTGAACGCAAAAATCACAGAGCAGTTTCTGAGAATTGTTCTGTCTAGTTTTTATACGAAGATATTTCCTTTTTTACACATTGGCCTCAAATCGCTTGAAATCTCCACTTGCAAAAGCAACGAAAGGAGAGTTTCAAATCTGCTCGGTCTAAAGAAAGGTTCAACGCTGTGAATTGCATACACACAACCAAAAGAAGTTACTGAGAATTCTTTGGTCTAGCAGTATATGAAGAAATCCCGTTTCCAACGAAGGCCTCAAAAAGGTCCAAATATCTGCTTGCAGACTTTACAAAGAGAGTGCTTCCAACCTGCTCTATGAAAAGAAAGGTTAAACTCTGTGAGTTGAACGCACACATCACAAAGAAGCTTCTGAGAATGATTCTGTTTAGTTATTATACGAAGATATTTTCTTTCCTACCATTGGCCTCCAATGACTTGAAATCTCCTCTGGCAAAAGCCACGAAAAGAGAGTATCAAATCTGCTCTGTCTAAAGAAAAGTTCAACTCTGTGAGTTGAATACACACAGCACAAAGAAGTTACTGAGTATTCTTCTGTCTAGCATTATATGAAGAAGTCCCGTTTCCAACGAAGGGCTCAAAGAGCTCCAAATATCCACTTGGAGACTTTACAAAGAGAGCGTTTCCAAACTGCTCTATGAAAAGAAACGTTAAACTCTGTGAGTTGAACGCACACATCACAAACTAGTTTCTGCGAACGATTCTGTGTAGTTTTAATTCGAAGATATTTCCATTTCTAAGATTGGCCTCAAATCCCTTGAAATCTCCACTTGCAAATTCCACAAAAAGAGTGTTTCAAAACTGCTCTGAATAAAGGAAGGTTCAACTCCGTGAGTTGAATGCACACAACACAAAGAGTTACTGAGAATTCTTCTGTCTGTGAGTATATGAAGAAATCCCATTTGCAACGAAGGCCTCACAGAAATCTAAATATCCACTTGCAGACCTTACAGACAGAGTCTTTCCAAACTGCTCTATGAAAAGAAAGGTTAATCTTCCGTGAGTTGCACGCACACATCAGAAAGTAATTTCTGAGAATGATTCTCTCTAGTTTTTATACGAAGATATTTCCTTTTCTACCATTGGCCTCAAATCGTTTGAAACCTCCACATGCAAAAGCCACGAAAAGAGCGTTTCAAATCTGCTCTGTCTAAAGAAAGGTTCAAATCTGTGAGTTGAATACACACAACACAAAGTAGTTACTGAAAATGCTTCGGTCTAGCAGTATATGGAGAAATCCCGTTTCCAACGAAGGGCTCAAAGAAGTCCAAATATCCACTTGCAGACTTTACAAAAATAGTGTTTCCAAACTGCTCAATTAAAAGAAAGGTTAAACTCTGTGAGTGGAACGCACACATCACAAAGTAGTTTCTGAGAATGAGTTTGTCTCGTTTTCATACGAAGATATTTCCTTTTCTACCATTGTCCTCGAAGAGCTTGAAATCTGTACTAGCAAATTACACAAATAGAGTGTTTCAAATGTGCTCTCTCTAAAGGAAGGTTCAAATCTCTGAGTTGAATGCACACAACACAAAGAAGTGACTGAGAATACTGCTGCCCACCATTACAGGAAGAAATCCCGTTTCCAAAGAAGGCCTCAAAGAGGTCCAAATATCCACTTGCAGACTTTACAAATAGAGTGTTTCCAACCTGCTCTATGAAGAGAAAGGTTAAACTCTGTGAGTTGAACGCACACATCACAAGGTAGTATCTCAGAATGATACTGTCTAGTTTTTATACAAAGATATTTCCATTTCTAAGACTGGCCTCAAATCCCTAGAAATCTCCATTGGAAATTGCACAAACAGAGTGTTTGAAAACTGCTCTTTCTAAAGAAAGGTTCAACTCTGTTAGTTGAATACACACAACACAAACAAGTTACTGAGAATTCTTCTATCTAGCATTATATGAAGAAATCCCGTTTCAAACGAAGGCCTCAAAGAGGTCCAAATATCCTACTGCAGGCTTTACAAAGAGAGTGTTTCCAAACTGCTCAATTAAAAGAAAGGTTAAACTCTGTGAGTGGAACGCACACATCACAAAGTAGTTTCTGAGAATGATTTTGTCTAGTTTTAATACGAAGATATTTCCTTTCCTACCATTGTCCTCGAAGAGCTTGAAATCTGCACTAGCAAATTACACAAAAAGAGTGTTTTAAATGTGCTCTCTCTAAAGGAAGGTTCAAATGTCTGAGTTGAATGCACACAACACAAAGAAGTGACTGGGAATTCTTCTGTCTAGCATTATAGGAGGAAATCCCGTTTCAAACGAAGGCCTCAAAGAGGTCCTAATATCCACTTGCAGACTTTACAAAGACAGCGTTTCCAAACTGCTCTATGAAAAGAAACGTTAGACTCTGTGAGTTGAACGCACACATCACAAACTAGTTTCTGCGAATGATTCTGTGTAGTTTTAATTCGAAGATATTTCCATTTCTAAGATTGGCCTCAAATCCCTTGAAATCTCCACTTGCAAATTCCACAAAAAGAGTGTTTCAAAACTGCTCTGAATAAAGGAAGGTTCAACTCTGTAAGTTGAATGCACACAACTGAAAGTAGTAACTGAGAATTCTTCTGTCGGACAGTATATGAAGAAATCCCGTTTGCAACGAAGGCCTCACAGAAATCTAAATATCCACTTGCAAACCTTACAGACAGAGTGTTTCCAAACTTCTCTATGAAAAGAAAGGTTAATCTCCGTGAGTTGCACGCACACATCACAAAGTAGATTCTGAGAATGATTCTGTCTAGTTTTTATACGAAGATATTTCCTTTTCTACCATTGGCCTCAAATCGCTTGAAATCTTTACTTGCAAAAGCCACGAAAAGAGCATTTCAAATCTGCTCTGTCTAAAGAAAGGTTCAAATCTGTGAGTTGAATACACACAACACAAAGTAGTTACTGAAAATTCTTCGGGCTAGCAGTATATGGAGAAATCCCGTTTCCAAAGAAGGCCTGAAAGAGGTCCAAATATCCGCTTGCAGACTTTACAAAAAGAGTGTTTCCAAACTGCTCTATGAAAAGAAAGTTTAAAATCTGTGAGTTGAACGCACAAATCACAGAGCAGTTTCTGAGAATTGTTCTGTCTAGTTTTTATACGAAGATATTTCCTTTTCTACAATTGGCCTCAAAACGCTTGAAATCTCCACTTGCAAAAGCAACGAAAGGAGAGTTTCAAATCTGCTCGGTCTAAAGAAAGGTTCAACTCTGTGAATTGAATACACACAACCCAAAGAAGTTACTGAGAATTCTTCGGTCTAGCAGTATATGAAGAAATCCCGTTTCCAACGAAGGCCTCAAAAAGGTCCAAATATCTGCTTGCAGACTTTACAAAGAGAGTGCTTCCAACCTGCTCTATGAAAAGAAAGGTTAAACTCTGTGAGTTGAACGCACACATCACAAAGAAGTTTCTGAGAATGATTCTGTTTAGTTATTATACGAAGATATTTTCTTTTCTACCATTGGCCTCCAATGACTTGAAATCTCCTCTGGCAAAAGCCACGAAAAGAGAGTATCAAATCTGCTCTGTCTAAAGAAAAGTTCAACTCTGTGAGTTGAATACACACAGCACAAAGAAGTTACTGAGTATTCTTCTGTCTAGCATTATATGAAGAAGTCCCGTTTCCAACGAAGGGCTCAAACAGCTCCAAATATCCACTTGGAGACTTTACAAAGAGAGCGTTTCCAAACTGCTCTATGGAAAGTAACGTTAAACTCTGTGAGTTGAACGCACACATCACAAACTAGTTTCTGCGAACGATTCTGTGTAGTTTTAATTCGAAGATATTTCCATTTCTAAGATTGACCTCAAATCCCTTGAAATCTCCACTTGCAAATTCCACAAAAAGAGTGTTTCAAAACTGCTCTGAATAAAGGAAGGTTCAACTCCGTGAGTTGAATGCACACAACACAAAGAGTTACTGAGAATTCTTCTGTCTGTGAGTATATGAAGAAATCCCGTTTGCAACGAAGGCCTCACAGAAATCTAAATATCCACTTGCAGACCTTACAGACAGAGTCTTTCCAAACTGCTCTATGAAAAGAAAGGTTAATCTCCGTGAGTTGCACGCACACATCAGAAAGTAATTTCTGAGAATGATTCTCTCTAGTTTTTATACGAAGATATTTCCTTTTCTACCATTGGCCTCAAATCGTTTGAAACCTCCACATGCAAAAGCCACGAAAAGAGCGTTTCAAATCTGCTCTGTCTAAAGAAAGGTTCAAATCTGTGAGTTGAATTCACACAACACAAAGTAGTTACTGAAAATGCTTCTATCTAGCATTATATGAAGAAATCCCGTTTCCAACGAAAGGCCTCAAAGAGGTCCAAATATCCTACTGCAGACTTTACAAAGAGAGTGTTTCCAAACTGCTCAATTAAAAGAAAGGTTAAAGTCTGTGAGTGGAACGCACACATCACAAAGTAGTTTCTGAGAATGATTTTGTCTAGTTTTAATACGAAGATATTTCCTTTCCTACCATTGTCCTCGAAGAGCTTGAAATCTGCACTAGCAAATTACACAAAAAGAGTGTTTCAAATGTGCTCTCTCTAAAGGAAGGTTCAAATCTCTGAGTTGAATGCACACAACACAAAGAAGTGACTGGGAATTCTTCTGTCTAGCATTATAGGAGGAAATCCCGTTTCCAACGAAGGCCTCAAAGAGGTCCTAATATCCACTTGCAGACTTTACAAAGACAGCGTTTCCAAACTGCTCTATGAAAAGAAACGTTAAACTCTGTGAGTTGAACGCACACATCACAAACTAGTTTCTGCGAATGATTCTGTGTAGTTTCAATTCGAAGATATTTCCATTTCTAAGATTGGCCTCAAATCCCTTGAAATCTCCACTTGCAAATTCCACAAAAAGAGTGTTTCAAAACTGCTCTGAATAAAGGAAGGTTCAACTCTGTGAGTTGAATGCACACAGCAGAAAGTAGTAACTGAGAATTCTTCTGTCGGGCAGTATATGAAGAAATCCCGTTTGCAACGAAGGTCTCACAGAAATCTAAATATCCACTTGCAGACCTTACAGACAGAGTGTTTCCAAACTTCTCTATGAAAAGAAAGGTTAATCTCCGTGAGTTGCACGCACACATCACAAAGTAGATTCTGAGAATGATTCTGTCTAGTTTTTATACGAAGATATTTCCTTTTCTACCATTGGCCTCAAATCGCTTGAAATCTTTACTTGCAAAAGCCACGAAAAGAGCGTTTCAAATCTGCTCTGTCTAAAGAAAGGTTCAAATCTGTGAGTTGAATACACACAACACAAAGTAGTTACTGAAAATTATTCGGGCTAGCAGTATATGGAGAAATCCCGTTTCCAAAGAAGGCCTGAAAGAGGTCCAAATATCCGCTTGCAGACTTTACAAAAAGAGTGTTTCCAAACTGCTCTATGAAAAGAAAGTTTAAAATCTGTGAGTTGAACGCACAAATCACAGAGCAGTTTCTGAGAATTGTTCTGTCTAGTTTTTATACGAAGATATTTCCTTTTCTACAATTGGCCTCAAATCGCTTGAAATCTCCACTTGCAAAAGCAACGAAAGGAGAGTTTCAAATCTGCTCGGTCTAAAGAAAGGTTCAACTCTGTGAATTGAATACACACAACCCAAAGAAGTTACTGAGAATTCTTCGGTCTAGCAGTATATGAAGAAATCCCGTTTCCAACGAAGGCCTCAAAAAGGTCCAAATATCTGCTTGCAGACTTTACAAAGAGAGTGCTTCCAACCTGCTCTATGAAAAGAAAGGTTAAACTCTGTGAGTTGAACGCACACATCACAAAGAAGTTTCTGAGAATGATTCTGTTTAGTTATTATACGAAGATATTTTCTTTTCTACCATTGGCCTCCAATGACTTGAAATCTCCTCTGGCAAAACCCACGAAAAGAGAGTATCAAATCTGCTCTGTCTAAAGAAAAGTTCAACTCTGTGAGTTGAATACACACAGCACAAAGAAGTTACTGAGTATTCTTCTGTGTAGCATTATATGAAGAAGTCCCGTTTCCAACGAAGGGCTCAAAGAGCTCCAAATATCCACTTGGAGACTTTACAAAGAGAGCGTTTCCAAACTGCTCTATGAAAAGAAACGTTAAACTCTGTGAGTTGAACGCACACATCACAAACTAGTTTCTGCGAACGATTCTGTGTAGTTTTAATTCGAAGATATTTCCATTTCTAAGATTGGCCTCAAATCCCTTGAAATCTCCACTTGCAAATTCCACAAAAAGAGTGTTTCAAAACTGCTCCGAATAAAGGAAGGTTCAACTCCGTGAGTTGAATGCACACAACACAAATAGTTACTGAGAATTCTTCTGTCTGTGAGTATATGAAGAAATCCCGTTTGCAACGAAGGCCTCACAGAAATCTAAATATCCACTTGCAGACCTTACAGACAGAGTCTTTCCAAACTGCTCTATGAAAAGAAAGGTTAATCTCCGTGAGTTGCACGCACACATCACAAAGTAATTTCTGAGAATGATTCTCTCTAGTTTTTATACGAAGATATTTCCTTTTCTACCATTGGCCTCAAATCGTTTGAAACCTCCACATGCAAAAGCCACGAGAAGAGCGTTTCAAATCTGCTCTGTCTAAAGAAAGGTTCAAATCTGTGAGTTGAATACACACAACACAAAGTAGTTACTGAAAATGCTTCGGTCTAGCAGTATATGGAGAAATCCCGTTTCCAACGAAGGGCTCAAAGAAGTCCAAATATCCACTTGCAGACTTTACAAAAATAGTGTTTCCAAACTGCTCAATTAAAAGAAAGGTTAAACTCTGTGAGTGGAACGCACACATCACAAAGTAGTTTCTGAGAATGATTTTGTCTAGTTTTCATACGAAGATATTTCCTTTTCTACCATTGTCCTCGAAGAGCTTGAAATCTGTACTAGCAAATTACACAAATAGAGTGTTTCAAATGTGCTCTCTCTAAAGGAAGGTTCAAATCTCTGAGTTGAATGCACACAACACAAAGAAGTGACTGAGAATACTTCTGTCTAGCATTATAGGAAGAAATCCCGTTTCCAACGAAGGCCTCAAAGAGGTCCAAATATCCACTTGCAGACTTTACAAATAGAGTGTTTCCAAACTGCTCTGTGAAAAGAAAGGTTAAACTCTGTGAGTTGAACGCACACATCACAAGGTAGTATCTCAGAATGACACTGTCTAGTTTTTATACAAAGATATTTCCATTTCTAAGACTGGCCTCAAATCCCTAGAAATCTCCATTGGAAATTGCACAAACAGAGTGTTTGAAAACTGCTCTTTCTAAAGGAAGGTTCAACTCTGTTAGTTGAATACACACAACACAAACAAGTTACTGAGAATTCTTCTATCTAGCATTATATGAAGAAATCCCGTTTCCAACGAAGGCCTCAAAGAGGTCCAAATATCCTACTGCAGACTTTACAAAGAGAGTGTTTCCAAACTGCTCAATTAAAAGAAAGGTTAAACTCTGTGAGTGGAACGCACACATCACAAAGTAGTTTCTGAGAATGATTTTGTCTAGTTTTCATACGAAGATATTTCCTTTCCTACCATTGTCCTCGAAGAGCTTGAAATCTGCAATAGAAAATTACACAAAAAGAGTGTTTCAAATGTGCTCTCTCTAAAGAAAGGTTCAAATCTCTGAGTTGAATGCACACAACACAAAGAAGTGACTGGGAATTCTTCTGTCTAGCATTATAGGAGGAAATCCCGTTTCCAACGAAGGCCTCAAAGAGGTCCTAATATCCACTTGCAGACTTTACAAAGACAGCGTTTCCAAACTGCTCTATAAAAAGAAACCTTAAACTCTGTGAGTTGAACGCACACATCACAAACTAGTTTCTGCGAATGATTCTGTGTAGTTTTAATTCGAAGATATTTCCATTTCTAAGATTGGCCTCAAATCCCTTGAAATCTCCACTTGCAAATTCCACAAAAAGTGTGTTTCAAAACTGCTCTGAATAAAGGAAGGTTCAACACTGTGAGTTGAATGCACACAACACAAAGTAGTTACTGAGAATTCTTCTGTCGGGCAGTATATGAAGAAATCCCGTTTGCAACGAAGGCCTCACAGAAATCTAAATATCCACTTGCAGACCTTACAGACAGAGTGTTTCCAAACTTCTCTATGAAAAGAAAGGTTAATCTCCGTGAGTTGCACGCACACATCACAAAGTAGATTCTGAGAATGATTCTGTCTAGTTTTTATACGAAGATATTTCCTTTTCTACCATTGGCCTCAAATCGCTTGAAATCTTTACTTGCCAAAGCCACGAAAAGAGCGTTTCAAATCTGCTCTGTCTAAAGAAAGGTTCAAATCTGTGAGTTGAATACACACAACACAAAGTAGTTACTGAAAATTCTTCGGGCTAGCAGTATATGGAGAAATCCCGTTTCCAAAGAAGGCCTGAAAGAGGTCTAAATATCCGCTTGCAGACTTTACAAAAAGAGTGTTTCCAAACTGCTCTATGAAAAGAAAGTTTAAAATCTGTGAGTTGAACGCACAAATCACAGAGCAGTTTCTGAGAATTGTTCTGTCTAGTTTTTATACGAAGATATTTCCTTTTCTACAATTGGCCTCAAATCGCTTGAAATCTCCACTTGCAAAAGCAACGAAAGGAGAGTTTCAAATCTGCTCGGTCTAAACAAAGGTTCAACTCTGTGAATTGAATACACACAACCCAAAGAAGTTACTGAGAATTCTTCGGTCTAGCAGTATATGAAGAAATCCTGTTTCCAACGAAGGCCTCAAAAAGGTCCAAATATCTGCTTGCAGACTTTACAAAGAGAGTGCTTCCAACCTGCTCTGTGAAAAGAAAGGTTAAACTCTGTGAGTTGAACGCACACATCACAAAGAAGTTTCTGAGAATGATTCTGTTTAGTTATTATACGAAGATATTTTCTTTTCTACCATTGGCCTCCAATGACTTGAAATCTCCTCTGGCAAAAGCCACGAAAAGAGAGTATCAAATCTGCTCTGTCTAAAGAAAAGTTCAACTCTGTGAGTTGAATACACACAGCACAAAGAAGTTACTGAGTATTCTTCTGTCTAGCATTATATGAAGAAGTCCCGTTTCCAACGAAGGGCTCAAAGAGCTCCAAATATCCACTTGGAGACTTTACAAAGAGAGCGTTTCCAAACTGCTCTATGGAAAGAAACGTTAAACTCTGTGAGTTGAACGCACACATCACAAACTAGTTTCTGCGAACGATTCTGTGTAGTTTTAATTCGAAGATATTTCCATTTCTAAGATTGGCCTCAAATCCCTTGAAATCTCCACTTGCAAATTCCACAAAAAGAGTGTTTCAAAACTGCTCTGAATAAAGGAAGGTTCAACTCCGTGAGTTGAATGCACACAACACAAAGTGTTACTGAGAATTCTTCTGTCTGTGAGTATATGAAGAAATCCCGTTTGCAACGAAGGCCTCCCAGAAATCTAAATATCCACTTGCAGACCTTACAGACAGAGTCTTTCCAAACTGCTCTATGAAAAGAAAGGTTAATCTCCGTGAGTTGCACGCACACATCAGAAAGTAATTTCTGAGAATGATTCTCTCTAGTTTTTATACGAAGATATTTCCTTTTCTACCATTGGCCTCAAATCGTTTGAAACCTCCACATGCAAAAGCCACGAAAAGAGCGTTTCAAATCTGCTCTGTCTAAAGAAAGGTTCAAATCTGTGAGTTGAATACACACAACACAAAGTAGTTACTGAAAATGCTTCAGTCTAGCAGTATATGGAGAAATCCCGTTTCCAACGAAGGGCTCAAAGAAGTCCAAATATCCACTTGCAGACTTTACAAAAATAGTGTTTCCAAACTGCTCAATTAAAAGAAAGGTTAAACTCTGTGAGTGGAACGCACACATCACAAAGTAGTTTCTGAGAATGAGTTTGTCTAGTTTTCATACGAAGATATTTCCTTTCCTACCATTGTCCTCGAAGAGCTTGAAATCTGCACTAGCAAATTACACAAAAAGAGTGTTTTAAATGTGCTCTCTCTAAAGGAAGGTTCAAATCTCTGAGTTGAATGCACACAACACAAAGAAGTGACTGGGAATTCTTCTGTCTAGCATTATAGGAGGAAATCCCGTTTCCAACGAAGGCCTCAAAGAGGTCCTAATATCCACTTGCAGACTTTACAAAGACAGCGTTTCCAAACTGCTCTATGAAAAGAAACGTTAAACTCTGTGAGTTGAACGCACACATCACAAACTAGTTTCTGCGAATGATTCTGTGTAGTTTTAATTCGAAGATATTTCCATTTCTAAGATTGGCCTCAAATCCCTTGCAATCTCCACTTGCAAATTCCACAAAAAGAGTGTTTCAAAACTGCTCTGAATAAAGGAAGGTTCAACTCTGTGAGTTGAATGCACACAACAGAAAGTAGTAACTGAGAATTCTTCTGTCAGGCAGTATATGAAGAAATCCCGTTTGCAACGAAGGCCTCACAGAAATCTAAATATCCACTTGCAGACCTTACAGACAGAGTGTTTCCAAACTTCTCTATGAAAAGAAAGGTTAATCTCCGTGAGTTGCACGCACACATCACAAAGTAGATTCTGAGAATGATTCCGTCTAGTTTTTATACGAAGATATTTCCTTTTCTACCATTGGCCTCAAATCGCTTGAAATCTTTACTTGCAAAAGCCACGAAAAGAGCGTTTCAAATCTGCTCTGTCTAAAGAAAGGTTCAAATCTGTGAGTTGAATACACGCAACACAAAGTAGTTACTGAAAATGCTTCGGGCTAGCAGTATATGGAGAAATCCCGTTTCCAAAGAAGGCCTGAAAGAGGTCCAAATATCCGCTTGCAGACTTTACAAAAAGAGTGTTTCCAAACTGCTCTATGAAAAGAAAGTTTAAAATCTGTGAGTTGAACGCACAAATCACAGAGCAGTTTCTGAGAATTGTTCTGTCTAGTTTTTATACGAAGATATTTCCTTTTCTACAATTGGCCTCAAATCGCTTGAAATCTCCACTTGCAAAAGCAACGAAAGGAGAGTTTCAAATCTGCTCGGTCTAAAGAAAGGTTCAACTCTGTGAATTGAATACACACAACCCAAAGAAGTTACTGAGAATTCTTCGGTCTAGCAGTATATGAAGAAATCCCGTTTCCAACGAAGGCCTCAAAAAGGTCCAAATATCTGCTTGCAGACTTTACAAAGAGAGTGCTTCCAACCTGCTCTATGAAAAGAAAGGTTAAACTCTGTGAGTTGAACGCACACATCACAAAGAAGTTTCTGAGAATGATTCTGTTTAGTTATTATACGAAGATATTTTCTTTTCTACCATTGGCCTCCAATGACTTGAAATCTCCTCTGGCAAAAGCCACGAAAAGAGAGTATCAAATCTGCTCTGTCTAAAGAAAAGTTCAACTCTGTGAGTTGAATACACACAGCACAAAGAAGTTACTGAGTATTCTTCTGTCTAGCATTATATGAAGAAGTCCCGTTTCCAACGAAGGGCTCAAACAGCTCCAAATATCCACTTGGAGACTTTACAAAGAGAGCGTTTCCAAACTGCTCTATGAAAAGAAACGTTAAACTCTTTGAGTTGAACGCACGCATCACAAACTAGTTTCTGCGAACGATTCTGTGTAGTTTTAATTCGAAGATATTTCCATTTCTAAGATTGGCCTCAAATCCCTTGAAATCTCCACTTGCAAATTCCACAAAAAGAGTGTTTCAAAACTGCTCTGAATAAAGGAAGGTTCAACTCCGTGAGTTGAATGCACACAACACAAAGAGTTACTGAGAATTCTTCTGTCTGTGAGTATATGAAGAAATCCCGTTTGCAACGAAGGCCTCCCAGAAATCTAAATATCCACTTGCAGACCTTACAGACAGAGTCTTTCCAAACTGCTCTATGAAAAGAAAGGTTAATCTCCGTGAGTTGCACGCACACATCAGAAAGTAATTTCTGAGAATGATTCTCTCTAGTTTTTATACGAAGATATTTCCTTTTCTACCATTGGCCTCAAATCGTTTGAAACCTCCACATGCAAAAGCCACGAAAAGAGCGTTTCAAATCTGCTCTGTCTAAAGAAAGGTTCAAATCTGTGAGTTGAATACACACAACACAAAGTAGTTACTGAAAATGCTTCGGTCTAGCAGTATATGGAGAAATCCCGTTTCCAACGAAGGGCTCAAAGAAGTCCAAATATCCACTTGCAGACTTTACAAAAATAGTGTTTCCAAACTGCTAAATTAAAAGAAAGGTTAAACTCTGTGAGTGGAACGCACACATCACAAAGTAGTTTCTGAGAATGAGTTTGTCTAGTTTTCATACGAAGATATTTCCTTTTCTACCATTGTCCTCGAAGAGCTTGAAATCTGCACTAGCAAATTACACAAAAAGAGTGTTTTAAATGTGCTCTCTCTAAAGGAAGGTTCAAATCTCTGAGTTGAATGCACACAACACAAAGAAGTGACTGGGAATTCTTCTGTCTAGCATTATAGGAGGAAATCCCGTTTCCAACGAAGGCCTCAAAGAGGTCCTAATATCCACTTGCAGACTTTACAAAGACAGCGTTTCCAAACTGCTCTATGAAAAGAAACGTTAAACTCTGTGAGTTGAACGCACACATCACAAACTAGTTTCTGCGAATGATTCTGTGTAGTTTTAATTCGAAGATATTTACATTTCTAAGATTAGGCCTCAAATCCCTTGAAATCTCCACTTGCAAATTCCACAAAAAGAGTGTTTCAAAACTGCTCTGAATAAAGGAAGATTCAACTCTGTGAGTTGAATGCACACAACAGAAAGTAGTAACTGAGAATTCTTCTGTCGGGCAGTATATGAAGAAATCCCGTTTGCAACGAAGGCCTCACAGAAATCTAAATATCCACTTGCAGACCTTACAGACAGAGTGTTTCCAAACTTCTCTATGAAAAGAAAGCTTAATCTCCGTGAGTTGCACGCACACATCACAAAGTAGATTCTGAGAATGATTCTGTCTAGTTTTTATACGATGATATTTCCTTTTCTACCATTGGCCTCAAATCGCTTGAAATCTTTACTTGCAAAAGCCACGAAAAGAGCGTTTCAAATCTGCTCTGTCTAAAGAAAGGTTCAAATCTGTGAGTTGAATACACACAACACAAAGTAGTTACTGAAAATGCTTCGGGCTAGCAGTATATGGAGAAATCCCGTTTCCAAAGAAGGCCTGAAAGAGGTCCAAATATCCGCTTGCAGACTTTACAAAAAGAGTGTTTCCAAACTGCTCTATGAAAAGAAAGTTTAAAATCTGTGAGTTGAACGCACAAATCACAGAGCAGTTTCTGAGAATTGTTCTGTCTAGTTTTTATACGAAGATATTTCCTTTTCTACAATTGGCCTCAAATCGCTTGAAATCTCCACTTGCAAAAGCAACGAAAGGAGAGTTTCAAATCTGCTCGGTCTAAAGAAAGGTTCAACTCTGTGAATTGAATACACACAACACAAAGAAGTTAATGAGAATTCTTCGGTCTAGCAGTATATGAAGAAATCCCGTTTCAAAAGAAGGCCTCAAAAAGGTCCAAATATCTGCTTGCAGACTTTACAAAGAGAGTGCTTCCAACCTGCTCTATGAAAAGAAAGGTTAAACTCTGTGAGTTGAACGCACACATCACAAAGAAGTTTCTGAGAATGATTCTGTTTAGTTATTATACGAAGATATTTTCTTTTCTACCATTGGCCTCCAATGACTTGAAATCTCCTCTGGCAAAACCCATGAAAAGAGAGTATCAAATCTGCTCTGTCTAAAGAAAAGTTCAACTCTGTGAGTTGAATACACACAGCACAAAGAAGTTACTGAGTATTCTTCTGTCTAGCATTATATGAAGAAGTCCAGTTTCCAACGAAGGGCTCAAACAGCTCCAAATATCTACTTGGAGACTTTACAAAGAGAGCGTTTCCAAACTGCTCTATGGAAAGAAACGTTAAACTCTGTGAGTTGAACGCACACATCACAAACTGGTTTCTGCGAACGATTCTGTGTAGTTTTAATTCGAAGATATTTCCATTTCTAAGATTGGCCTCAAATCCCTTGAAATCTCCATTTGCAAATTCCACAAAAAGAGTGTTTCAAAACTGCTCTGAATAAAGGAAGGTTCAACTCCGTGAGTTGAATGCACACAACACAAAGAGTTACTGAGAATTCTTCTGTCTGTGAGTATATGAAGAAATCCCGTTTGCAACGAAGGCCTCACAGGAAATCTAAATATCCACTTGCAGACCTTACAGACAGAGTCTTTCCAAACTGCTCTATGAAAAGAAAGGTTAATCTCCGTGAGTTGCACGCACACATCAGAAAGTAATTTCTGAGAATGATTCTCTCTAGTTTTTATACGAAGATATTTCCTTTTCTACCATTGGCCTCAAATCGTTTGAAACCTCCACATGCAAAAGCCACGAGAAGAGCGTTTCAAATCTGCTCTGTCTAAAGAAAGGTTCAAATCTGTGAGTTGAATACACACAACACAAAGTAGTTACTGAAAATGCTTCGGTCTAGCAGTATATGGAGAAATCCCGTTTCCAACGAAGGGCTCAAAGAAGTCCAAATATCCACTTGCAGACTTTACAAAAATAGTGTTTCCAAACTGCTCAATTAAAAGAAAGGTTAAACTCTGTGAGTGGAACGCACACATCACAAAGTAGTTTCTGAGAATGATTTTGTCTAGTTTTCATACGAAGATATTTCCTTTTCTACCATTGTCCTCGAAGAGCTTGAAATCTGTACTAGCAAATTACACAAATAGAGTGTTTCAAATGTGCTCTCTCTAAAGGAAGGTTCAAATCTCTGAGTTGAATGCACACAACACAAAGAAGTGACTGAGAATACTTCTGTCTAGCATTATAGGAAGAAATCCCGTTTCCAACGAAGGCCTCAAAGAGGTCCAAATATCCACTTGCAGACTTTACAAATAGAGTGTTTCCAAACTGCTCTATGAAAAGAAAGGTTAAACTCTGTGAGTTGAACGCACACATCACAAGGTAGTATCTCAGAATGACACTGTCTAGTTTTTATACAAAGATATTTCCATTTCTAAGACTGGCCTCAAATCCCTAGAAATCTCCATTGGAAATTGCACAAACAGAGTGTTTGAAAACTGCTCTTTCTAAAGGAAGGTTCAACTCTGTTAGTTGAATACAAACAACACAAACAAGTTACTGAGAATTCTTCTATCTAGCATTATATGAAGAAATCCCGTTTCCAACGAAGGCCTCAAAGAGGTCCAAATATCCTACTGCAGACTTTACAAAGAGAGTGTTTCCAAACTGCTCAATTAAAAGAAAGGTTAAAGTCTGTGAGTGGAACGCACACATCACAAAGTAGTTTCTGAGAATGATTTTGTCTAGTTTTAATACGAAGATATTTCCTTTCCTACCATTGTCCTCGAAGAGCTTGAAATCTGCACTAGCAAATTACACAAAAAGAGTGTTTTAAATGTGCTCTCTCTAAAGGAAGGTTCAAATGTCTGAGTTGAATGCACACAACACAAAGAAGTGACTGGGAATTCTTCTGTCTAGCATTATAGGAGGAAATCCCGTTTCCAACGAAGGCCTCAAAGAGGTCCTAATATCCACTTGCAGACTTTACAAAGACAGCGTTTCCAAACTGCTCTATGAAAAGAAACGTTAAACTCTGTGAGTTGAACGCACACATCACAAACTAGTTTCTGCGAATGATTCTGTGTAGTTTTAATTCGAAGATATTTCCATTTCTAAGATTGGCCTCAAATCCCTTGAAATCTCCACTTGCAAATTCCACAAAAAGCGGGTTTCAAAACTGCTCTGAATAAAGGAAGGTTCAACTCTGTGAGTTGAATGCACACAGCAGAAAGTAGTAACTGAGAATTCTTCTGTCGGGCAGTATATGAAGAAATCCCGTTTGCAACGAAGGCCTCACAGAAATCTAAATTTCCACTTGCAGACCTTACAGACAGAGTGTTTCCAAACTTCTCTATGAAAAGAAAGGTTAATCTCCGTGAGTTGCACGCACACATCACAAAGTAGATTCTGAGAATGATTCTGTCTAGTTTTTATACGAAGATATTTCCTTTTCTACCATTGGCCTCAAATCGCTTGAAATCTTTACTTGCAAAAGCCACGAAAAGAGCGTTTCAAATCTGCTCTGTCTAAAGAAAGGTTCAAATCTGTGAGTTGAATACACACAACACAAAGTAGTTACTGAAAATGCTTCGGGCTAGCAGTATATGGAGAAATCCCGTTTCCAAAGAAGGCCTGAAAGAGGTCCAAATATCCGCTTGCAGACTTTACAAAAAGAGTGTTTCCAAACTGCTGTATGAAAAGAAAGTTTAAAATCTGTGAGTTCAACGCACAAATCACAGAGCAGTTTCTGAGAATTGTTCTGTCTAGTTTTTATACGAAGATATTTCCTTTTCTACAATTGGCCTCAAATCGCTTGAAATCTCCACTTGCAAAAGCAACGAAAGGAGAGTTTCAAATCTGCTCGGTCTAAAGAAAGGTTCAACTCTGTGAATTGAATACACACAACCCAAAGAAGTTACTGAGAATTCTTCGGTCTAGCAGTATATGAAGAAATCCCGTTTCCAACGAAGGCCTCAAAAAGGTCCAAATATCTGCTTGCAGACTTTACAAAGAGAGTGCTTCCAACCTGCTCTATGAAAAGAAAGGTTAAACTCTGTGAGTTGAACGCACACATCACAAAGAAGTTTCTGAGAATGATTCTGTTTAGTTATTATACGAAGATATTTTCTTTTCTACCATTGGCCTCCAATGACTTGAAATCTCCTCTGGCAAAAGCCACGAAAAGAGAGTATCAAATCTGCTCTGTCTAAAGAAAAGTTCAACTCTGTGAGTTGAATACACACAGCACAAAGAAGTTACTGAGTATTCTTCTGTCTAGCATTATATGAAGAAGTCCCGTTTCCAACGAAGGGCTCAAACAGCTCCAAATATCCACTTGGAGACTTTACAAAGAGAGCGTTTCCAAACTGCTCTATGGAAAGAAACGTTAAACTCTGTGAGTTGAACGCACACATCACAAACTAGTTTCTGCGAACGATTCTGTGTAGTTTTAATTCGAAGATATTTCCATTTCTAAGATTGGCCTCAAATCCCTTGAAATCTCCACTTGCAAATTCCACAAAAAGAGTGTTTCAAAACTGCTCTGAATAAAGGAAGGTTCAACTCCGTGAGTTGAATGCACACAACACAAAGAGTTACTGAGAATTCTTCTGTCTGTGAGTATATGAAGAAATCCCGTTTGCAACGAAGGCCTCACAGAAATCTAAATATCCACTTGCAGACCTTACAGACAGAGTCTTTCCAAACTGCTCTATGAAAAGAAAGGTTAATCTCCGTGAGTTGCACGCACACATCAGAAAGTAATTTCTGAGAATGATTCTCTCTAGTTTTTATACGAAGATATTTCCTTTTCTACCATTGGCCTCAAATCGCTTGAAATCTTTACTTGCAAAAGCCACGAAAAGAGCGTTTCAAATCTGCTCTGTCTAAAGAAAGGTTCAAATCTGTGAGTTGAATACACACAACACAAAGTAGTTACTGAAAATGCTTCAGTCTAGCAGTATATGGAGAAATCCCGTTTCCAACGAAGGGCTCAAAGAAGTCCAAATATCCACTTGCAGACTTTACAAAAATAGTGTTTCCAAACTGCTCAATTAAAAGAAAGGTTAAACTCTGTGAGTGGAACGCACACATCACAAAGTAGTTTCTGAGAATGAGTTTGTCTAGTTTTCATACGAAGATATTTCCTTTTCTACCATTGTCCTCGAAGAGCTTGAAATCTGCACTAGCAAATTACACAAAAAGAGTGTTTCAAATGTGCTCTCTCTAAAGGAAGGTTCAAATCTCTGAGTTGAATGCACACAACACAAAGAAGTGACTGAGAATACTTCTGTCTAGCATTATAGGAAGAAATCCCGTTTCCAACGAAGGCCTCAAAGAGGTCCAAATATCCACTTGCAGACTTCACAAATAGAGTGTTTCCAAACTGCTCTATGAAAAGAAAGGTTAAACTCTGTGAGTTGAACGCACACATCACAAGGTAGTATCTCAGAATGACACTGTCTAGTTTTTATACAAAGATATTTCCATTTCTAAGACTGGCCTCAAATCCCTAGAAATCTCCATTGGAAATTGCACAAACAGAGTGTTTGAAAACTGCTCTTTCTAAAGGAAGGTTCAACTCTGTTAGTTGAATACACACAACACAAACAAGTTACTGAGAATTCTTCTATCTAGCATTATATGAAGAAATCCCGTTTCCAACGAAGGCCTCAAAGAGGTCCAAATATCCTACTGCAGACCTTACAAAGAGAGTGTTTCCAAACTGCTCAATTAAAAGAAAGGTTAAACTCTGTGAGTGGAACGCACACATCACAAAGTAGTTTCTGAGAATGATTTTGTCTAGTTTTCATACGAAGATATTTCCTTTCCTACCATTGTCCTCGAAGAGCTTGAAATCTGCACTAGCAAATTACACAAAAAGAGTGTTTTAAATGTGCTCTCTCTAAAGGAAGGTTCAAATCTCTGAGTTGAATGCACACAACACAAAGAAGTGACTGGGAATTCTTCTGTCTAGCATTATAGGAGGAAATCCCGTTTCCAACGAAGGCCTCAAAGATATCCTAATATCCACTTGCAGACTTTACAAAGACAGCGTTTCCAAACTGCTCTATGAAAAGAAACGTTAAACTCTGTGAGTTGAACGCACACATCACAAACTAGTTTCTGCGAATGATTCTGTGTAGTTTTAATTCGAAGATATTTCCATTTCTAAGATTGGCCTCAAATCCCTTGAAATCTCCACTTGCAAATTCCACAAAAAGAGTGTTTCAAAACTGCTCTGAATAAAGGAAGGTTCAACTCTGTGAGTTGAATGCACACAACACAAAGTAGTAACTGAGAATTCTTCTGTCGGGCAGTATATGAAGAAATCCCGTTTGCAACGAAGGCCTCACAGAAATCTAAATATCCACTTGCAGACCTTACAGACAGAGTGTTTCCAAACTTCTCTATGAAAAGAAAGGTTAATCTCCGTGAGTTGCACGCACACATCACAAAGTAGATTCTGAGAATGATTCTGTCTAGTTTTTATACGAAGATATTTCCTTTTCTACCATTGGCCTCAAATCGCTTGAAATCTTTACTTGCAAAAGCCACGAAAAGTGCATTTCAAATCTGCTCTGTCTAAAGAAAGGTTCAAATCTGTGAGTTGAATACACACAACACAAAGTAGTTACTGAAAAGTCTTCGGGCTAGCAGTATATGGAGAAATCCCGTTTCCAAAGAAGGCCTGAAAGAGGTCCAAATATCCGCTTGCAGACTTTACAAAAAGAGTGTTTCCAAACTGCTCTATGAAAAGAAAGTTTAAAATCTGTGAGTTGAACGCACAAATCACAGAGCAGTTTCTGAGAATTGTTCTGTCTAGTTTTTATACGAAGATATTTCCTTTTCTACAATTGGCCTCAAATCGCTTGAAATCTCCACTTGCAAAAGCAACGAAAGGAGAGTTTCAAATCTGCTCGGTCTAAAGAAAGGTTCAACTCTGTGAATTCAATACACACAACCCAAAGAAGTTACTGAGAATTCTTCGGTCTAGCAGTATATGAAGAAATCCTGTTTCCAACGAAGGCCTCAAAAAGGTCCAAATATCTGCTTGCAGACTTTACAAAGAGAGTGCTTCCAACCTGCTCTGTGAAAAGAAAGGTTAAACTCTGTGAGTTGAACGCACACATCACAAAGAAGTTTCTGAGAATGATTCTGTTTAGTTATTATACGAAGATATTTTCTTTTCTACCATTGGCCTCCAATGACTTGAAATCTCCTCTGGCAAAACCCATGAAAAGAGAGTATCAAATCTGCTCTGTCTAAAGAAAAGTTCAACTCTGTTAGTTGAATACACACAGCACAAAGTAGTTACTGAGTATTCTTCTGTCTAGCATTATATGAAGAAGTCCCGTTTCCAACGAAGGGCTCAAACAGCTCCAAATATCCACTTGGAGACTTTACAAAGAGAGCGTTTCCAAACTGCTCTATGAAAAGAAACGTTAAACTCTGTGAGTTGAACGCACGCATCACAAACTAGTTTCTGCGAACGATTCTGTGTAGTTTTAATTCGAAGATATTTCCATTTCTAAGATTGGCCTCAAATCCCTTGAAATCTCCACTTGCAAATTCCACAAAAAGAGTGTTTCAAAACTGCTCTGAATAAAGGAAGGTTCAACTCCGTGAGTTGAATGCACACAACACAAAGAGTTACTGAGAATTCTTCTGTCTGTGAGTATATGAAGAAATCCCATTTGCAACGAAGGCCTCACAGAAATCTAAATATCCACTTGCAGACCTTACAGACAGAGTCTTTCCAAACTGCTCTATGAAAAGAAAGGTTAATCTCCGTGAGTTGCACGCACACATCAGAAAGTAATTTCTGAGAATGATTCTCTCTAGTTTTTATACGAAGATATTTCCTTTTCTACCATTGGCCTCAAATCGTTTGAAACCTCCACATGCAAAAGCCACGAAAAGAGCGTTTCAAATCTGCTCTGTCTAAAGAAAGGTTCAAATCTGTGAGTTGAATACACACAACACAAAGTAGTTACTGAAAATGCTTCGGTCTAGCAGTATATGGAGAAATCCCGTTTCCAACGAAGGGCTCAAAGAAGTCCAAATATCCACTTGCAGACTTTACAAAAATAGTGTTTCCAAACTGCTCAATTAAAAGAAAGGTTAAACTCTGTGAGTGGAACGCACACATCACAAAGTAGTTTCTGAGAATGAGTTTGTCTAGTTTTCATACGAAGATATTTCCTTTTCTACCATTGTCCTCGAAGAGCTTGAAATCTGCACTAGCAAATTACACAAAAAGAGTGTTTCAAATGTGCTCTCTCTAAAGGAAGGTTCAAATCTCTGAGTTGAATGCACACAACACAAAGAAGTGACTGAGAATACTTCTGTCTAGCATTATAGGAAGAAATCCCGTTTCCAACGAAGGCCTCAAAGAGGTCCAAATATCCACTTGCAGACTTTACAAATAGAGTGTTTCCAAACTGCTCTATGAAAAGAAAGGTTAAACTCTGTGAGTTGAACGCACACATCACAAGGTAGTATCTCAGAATGACACTGTCTAGTTTTTATACAAAGATATTTCCATTTCTAAGACTGGCCTCAAATCCCTAGAAATCTCCATTGGAAATTGCACAAACAGAGTGTTTGAAAACTGCTCTTTCTAAAGGAAGGTTCAACTCTGTTAGTTGAATACACACAACACAAACAAGTTACTGAGAACTCTTCTATCTAGCATTATATGAAGAAATCCCGTTTCAAACGAAGGCCTCAAAGAGGTCCAAATATCCTACTGCAGGCTTTACAAAGAGAGTGTTTCCAAACTGCTCAATTAAAAGAAAGGTTAAACTCTGTGAGTGGAACGCACACATCACAAAGTAGTTTCTGAGAATGATTTTGTCTAGTTTTAATACGAAGATATTTCCTTTCCTACCATTGTCCTCGAAGAGCTTGAAATCTGCACTAGCAAATTACACAAAAAGAGTGTTTTAAATGTGCTCTCTCTAAAGGAAGGTTCAAATGTCTGAGTTGAATGCACACAACACAAAGAAGTGACTGGGAATTCTTCTGTCTAGCATTACAGGAGGAAATCCCGTTTCCAACGAAGGCCTCAAAGGAGGTCCTAATATCCACTTGCAGACTTTACAAAGACAGCGTTTCCAAACTGCTCTATGAAAAGAAACGTTAAACTCTGTGAGTTGAACGCACACATCACAAACTAGTTTCTGCGAATGATTCTGTGTAGTTTTAATTCGAAGATATTTCCATTTCTAAGATTGGCCTCAAATCCCTTGCAATCTCCACTTGCAAATTCCACAAAAAGAGTGTTTCAAAACTGCTCTGAATAAAGGAAGGTTCAACTCTGTGAGTTGAATGCACACAACAGAAAGTAGTAACTGAGAATTCTTCTGTCGGGCAGTATATGAAGAAATCCCGTTTGCAATGAAGGCCTCACAGAAATCTAAATATCCACTTGCAGACCTTACAGACAGAGTGTTTCCAAACTTCTCTATGAAAAGAAAGGTTAATCTCCGTGAGTTGCACGCACACATCACAAAGTAGATTCTGAGAAAGATTCTGTCTAGTTTTTATACGAAGATATTTCCTTTTCTACCATTGGCCTCAAATCGCTTGAAATCTTTACTTGCAAAAGCCACGAAAAGAGCGTTTCAAATCTGCTCTGTCTAAAGAAAGGTTCAAATCTGTGAGTTGAATACACACAACACAAAGTAGTTACTGAAAATGCTTCGGGCTAGCAGTATATGGAGAAATCCCGTTTCCAAAGAAGGCCTGAAAGAGGTCCAAATATCCGCTTGCAGACTTTACAAAAAGAGTGTTTCCAAACTGCTCTATGAAAAGAAAGTTTATAATCTGTGAGTTGAACGCACAAATCACAGAGCAGTTTCTGAGAATTGTTCTGTCTAGTTTTTATACGAAGATATTTCCTTTTCTACAATTGGCCTCAAATCGCTTGAAATCTCCACTTGCAAAAGCAACGAAAGGAGAGTTTCAAATCTGCTCGGTCTAAAGAAAGGTTCAACTCTGTGAATTGAATACACACAACCCAAAGAAGTTACTGAGAATTCTTCGGTCTAGCAGTATATGAAGAAATCCCGTTTCCAACGAAGGCCTCAAAAAGGTCCAAATATCTGCTTGCAGACTTTACCAAGAGAGTGCTTCCAACCTGCTCTATGAAAAGAAAGGTTAAACTCTGTGAGTTGAACGCACACATCACAAAGAAGTTTCTGAGAATGATTCTGTTTAGTTATTATACGAAGATATTTTCTTTTCTACCATTGGCCTCCAATGACTTGAAATCTCCTCTGGCAAAAGCCACGAAAAGAGAGTATCAAATCTGCTCTGTCTAAAGAAAAGTTCAACTCTGTGAGTTGAATACACACAGCACAAAGAAGTTACTGAGTATTCTTCTGTCTAGCATTATATGAAAGAAGTCCCGTTTCCAACGAAGGGCTCAAAGAGCTCCAAATATCCACTTGGAGACTTTACAAAGAGAGCGTTTCCAAACTGCTCTATGAAAAGAAACGTTAAACTCTGTGAGTTGAACGCACACATCACAAACTAGTTTCTGCGAACGATTCTGTGTAGTTTTAATTCGAAGATATTTCCATTTCTAAGATTGGCCTCAAATCCCTTGAAATCTCCACTTGCAAATTCCACAAAAAGAGTGTTTCAAAACTGCTCTGAATAAAGGAAGGTTCAACTCCGTGAGTTGAATGCACACAACACAAAGAGTTACTGAGAATTCTTCTGTCTGTGAGTATATGAAGAAATCCCGTTTGCAACGAAGGCCTCACAGAAATCTAAATATCCACTTGCAGACCTTACAGACAGAGTCTTTCCAAACTGCTCTATGAAAAGAAAGGTTAATCTCCGTGAGTTGCACGCACACATCAGAAAGTAATTTCTGAGAATGATTCTCTCTAGTTTTTATACGAAGATATTTCCTTTTCTACCATTGGCCTCAAATCGTTTGAAACCTCCACATGCAAAAGCCACGAAAAGAGCGTTTCAAATCTGCTCTGTCTAAAGAAAGGTTCAAATCTGTGAGTTGAATACACACAACACAAAGTAGTTACTGAAAATACTTCGGTCTAGCAGTATATGGAGAAATCCCGTTTCCAACGAAGGGCTCAAAGAAGTCCAAATATCCACTTGCAGACTTTACAAAAATAGTGTTTCCAAACTGCTCAATTAAAAGAAAGGTTAAACTCTGTGAGTGGAACGCACACATCACAAAGTAGTTTCTGAGAATGAGTTTGTCTAGTTTTCATACGAAGATATTTCCTTTTCTACCATTGTCCTCGAAGAGCTTGAAATCTGCACTAGCAAATTACACAAAAAGAGTGTTTCAAATGTGCTCTCTCTAAAGGAAGGTTCAAATCTCTGAGTTGAATGCACACAACACAAAGAAGTGACTGAGAATACTTCTGTCTAGCGTTATATGAAGAAATCCCGTTTCCAACGAAGGCCTCAAAGAGGTCCAAATATCCACTTGCAGACTTTACAAATAGAGTGTTTCCAAACTGCTCTATGAAAAGAAAGGTTAAACTCCCGTGAGTTGAAGGCACACATCACAAACTAGTTTCTGCGAATGACACTGTCTAGTTTTTATACAAAGATATTTCCATTTCTAAGACTGGCCTCAAATCCCTAGAAATCTCCATTGGAAATTGCACAAACAGAGTGTTTGAAAACTGCTCTTTCTAAAGGAAGGTTCAACTCTGTTAGTTGAATACACACAACACAAACAAGTTACTGAGAACTCTTCTATCTAGCATTATATGAAGAAATCCCGTTTCCAACGAAGGCCTCAAAGAGGTCCAAATATCCTACTGCAGACTTTACAAAGAGAGTGTTTCCAAACTGCTCAATTAAAAGAAAGGTTAAACTCTGTGAGTGGAACGCACACATCACAAAGTAGTTTCTGAGAATGATTTTGTCTAGTTTTAATACGAAGATATTTCCTTTCCTACCATTGTCCTCGAAGAGCTTGAAATCTGCACTAGCAAATTACACAAAAAGAGTGTTTTAAATGTGCTCTCTCTAAAGGAAGGTTCAAATCTCTGAGTTGAATGCACACAACACAAAGAAGTGACTGGGAATTCTTCTGTCTAGCATTATAGGAGGAAATCCCGTTTCCAACGAAGGCCTCAAAGAGGTCCTAATATCCACTTGCAGACTTTACAAAGACAGCGTTTCCAAACTGCTCTATGAAAAGAAACGTTAAACTCTGTGAGTTGAACGCACACATCACAAACTAGTTTCTGCGAATGATTCTGTGTAGTTTTAATTCGAAGATATTTCCATTTCTAAGATTGGCCTCAAATCCCTTGAAATCTCCACTTGCAAATTCCACAAAAAGAGTGTTTCAAAACTGCTCTGAATAAAGGAAGGTTCAACTCTGTGAGTTGAATGCACACAACACAAAGTAGTAACTGAGAATTCTTCTGTCGGGCAGTATATGAAGAAATCCCGTTTGCAACGAAGGCCTCACAGAAATCTAAATATCCACTTGCAGACCTTACAGACAGAGTGTTTCCAAACTTCTCTATGAAAAGAAAGGTTAATCTGCGTGAGTTGCACGCACACATCACAAAGTAGATTCTGAGAATGATTCTGTCTAGTTTTTATACGAAGATATTTCCTTTTCTACCATTGGCCTCAAATCGCTTGAAATCTTTACTTGCAAAAGCCACGAAAAGAGCGTTTCAAATCTGCTCTGTCTAAAGAAAGGTTCAAATCTGTGAGTTGAATACACACAACACAAAGTAGTTACTGAAAATTCTTCGGGCTAGCAGTATATGGAGAAATCCCGTTTGCAAAGAAGGCCTGAAAGAGGTCCAAATATCCGCTTGCAGACTTTACAAAAAGAGTGTTTCCAAACTGCTCTATGAAAAGAAAGTTTAAAATCTGTGAGTTGAACGCACAAATCACAGAGCAGTTTCTGAGAATTGTTCTGTCTAGTTTTTATACGAAGATATTTCCTTTTCTACAATTGGCCTCAAATCGCTTGAAATCTCCACTTGCAAAAGCAACGAAAGGAGAGTTTCAAATCTGCTCGGTCTAAAGAAAGGTTCAATTCTGTGAATTGAATACACACAACCCAAAGAAGTTACTGAGAATTCTTCGGTCTAGCAGTATATGAAGAAATCCCGTTTCCAACGAAGGCCTCAAAA
Organism: Homo sapiens; assembly: GCF_000001405.40. NCBI lineage: Eukaryota > Metazoa > Chordata > Mammalia > Primates > Hominidae > Homo > Homo sapiens. The sequence continues at coordinate 39,700,904 of NC_000010.11, read as the reverse complement.
AGGTCCAAATATCTGCTTGCAGACTTTACAAAGAGAGTGCTTCCAACCTGCTCTATGAAAAGAAAGGTTAAACTCTGTGAGTTGAACGCACACATCACAAAGAAGTTTCTGAGAATGATTCTGTTTAGTTTTTATACGAAGATATTTCCTTTTCTACAATTGGCCCCAAATCGCTTGAAATCTCCTCTGGCAAAAGCCACGAAAAGAGAGTATCAAATCTGCTCTGTCTAAAGAAAAGTTCAACTCTGTGAGTTGAATACACACAACACAAAGAAGTTACTGAGTATTCTTCTGTCTAGCATTATATGAAGAAGTCCCGTTTCCAACGAAGGGCTCAAACAGCTCCAAATATCCACTTGGAGACTTTACAAAGAGAGCGTTTCCAAACTGCTCTATGAAAAGAAACGTTAAACTCTGTGAGTTGAACGCACACATCACACACTAGTTTCTGCGAACGATTCTGTGTAGTTTTAATTCGAAGATATTTCCATTTCTAAGATTGGCCTCAAATCCCTTGAAATCTCCACTTGCAAATTCCACAAAAAGAGTGTTTCAAAACTGCTCTGAATAAAGGAAGGTTCAACTCCGTGAGTTGAATGCACACAACACAAAGAGTTACTGAGAATTCTTCTGTCTGTGAGTATATGAAGAAATCCCGTTTGCAACGAAGGCCTCCCAGAAATCTAAATATCCACTTGCAGACCTTACAGACAGAGTCTTTCCAAACTGCTCTATGAAAAGAAAGGTTAATCTCCGTGAGTTGCACGCACACATCAGAAAGTAATTTCTGAGAATGATTCTCTCTAGTTTTTATACGAAGATATTTCCTTTTCTACCATTGGCCTCAAATCGTTTGAAACCTCCACATGCAAAAGCCACGAAAAGAGCGTTTCAAATCTGCTCTGTCTAAAGAAAGGTTCAAATCTGTGAGTTGAATACACACAACACAAAGTAGTTACTGAAAATGCTTCGGTCTAGCAGTATATGGAGAAATCCCGTTTCCAACGAAGGGCTCAAAGAAGTCCAAATATCCACTTGCAGACTTTACAAAAATAGTGTTTCCAAACTGCTCAATTAAAAGAAAGGTTAAACTCTGTGAGTGGAACGCACACATCACAAAGTAGTTTCTGAGAATGAGTTTGTCTAGTTTTCCTACGAAGATATTTCCTTTTCTACCATTGTCCTCGAAGAGCTTGAAATCTGCACTAGCAAATTACACAAAAAGAGTGTTTCAAATGTGCTCTCTCTAAAGGAAGGTTCAAATCTCTGAGTTGAATGCACACAACACAAAGAAGTGACTGAGAATACTTCTCTCTAGCATTATAGGAAGAAATCGCGTTTCCAACAAAGGCCTCAAAGAGGTCCAAATATCCACTTGCAGACTTTACAAATAGAGTGTTTCCAAACTGCTCTATGAAAAGAAAGGTTAAACTCTGTGAGTTGAACGCACACATCACAAGGTAGTATCTCAGAATGACACTGTCTAGTTTTTATACAAAGATATTTCCATTTCTAAGACTGGCCTCAAATCCCTAGAAATCTCCATTGGAAATTGCACAAACAGAGTGTTTGAAAACTGCTCTTTCTAAAGGAAGGTTCAACTCTGTTAGTTGAATACACACAACACAAACAAGTTACTGAGAACTCTTCTATCTAGCATTATATGAAGAAATCCCGTTTCAAACGAAGGCCTCAAAGAGGTCCAAATATCCTACTGCAGGCTTTACAAAGAGAGTGTTTCCAAACTGCTCAATTAAAAGAAAGGTTAAACTCTGTGAGTGGAACGCACACATCACAAAGTAGTTTCTGAGAATGATTTTGTCTAGTTTTAATACGAAGATATTTCCTTTCCTACCATTGTCCTCGAAGAGCTTGAAATCTGCACTAGCAAATTACACAAAAAGAGTGTTTTAAATGTGCTCTCTCTAAAGGAAGGTTCAAATGTCTGAGTTGAATGCACACAACACAAAGAAGTGACTGGGAATTCTTCTGTCTAGCATTATAGGAGGAAATCCCGTTTCAAACGAAGGCCTCAAAGAGGTCCTAATATCCACTTGCAGACTTTACAAAGACAGCGTTTCCAAACTGCTCTATGAAAAGAAACGTTAGACTCTGTGAGTTGAACGCACACATCACAAACTAGTTTCTGCGAATGATTCTGTGTAGTTTTAATTCGAAGATATTTCCATTTCTAAGATTGGCCTCAAATCCCTTGAAATCTCCACTTGCAAATTCCACAAAAAGAGTGTTTCAAAACTGCTCTGAATAAAGGAAGGTTCAACTCTGTAAGTTGAATGCACACAACTGAAAGTAGTAACTGAGAATTCTTCTGTCGGGCAGTATATGAAGAAATCCCGTTTGCAACGAAGGCCTCACAGAAATCTAAATATCCACTTGCAGACCTTACAGACAGAGTGTTTCCAAACTTCTCTATGAAAAGAAAGGTTAATCTCCGTGAGTTGCACGCACACATCACAAAGTAGATTCTGAGAATGTTTCTGTCTAGTTTTTATACGAAGATATTTCCTTTTCTACCATTGGCCTCAAATCGCTTGAAATCTTTACTTGCAAAAGCCACGAAAAGAGCGTTTCAAATCTGCTCTGTCTAAAGAAAGGTTCAAATCTGTGAGTTGAATACACACAACACAAAGTAGTTACTGAAAATTCTTCGGGCTAGCAGTATATGGAGAAATCCCGTTTCCAAAGAAGGCCTGAAAGAGGTCCAAATATCCGCTTGGAGACTTTACAAAAAGAGTGTTTCCAAACTGCTCTATGAAAAGAAAGTTTAAAATCTGTGAGTTGAACGCACAAATCACAGAGCAGTTCCTGAGAATTGTTCTGTCTAGTTTTTATACGAAGATATTTCCTTTTCTACAATTGGCCTCAAATCGCCTGAAATCTCCACTTGCAAAAGCAACGAAAGGAGAGTTTCAAATCTGCTCGGTCTAAAGAAAGGTTCAACTCTGTGAATTGAATACACACAACCCAAAGAAGTTACTGAGAATTCTTCGGTCTAGCAGTATATGAAGAAATCCCGTTTCCAACGAAGGCCTCAAAAAGGTCCAAATATCTGCTTGCAGACTTTACAAAGAGAGTGCTTCCAACCTGCTCTATGAAAAGAAAGGTTAAACTCTGTGAGTTGAACGCACACATCACAAAGAAGTTTCTGAGAATGATTCTGTTTAGTTATTATACGAAGATATTTTCTTTTCTACCATTGGCCTCCAATGACTTGAAATCTCCTCTGGCAAAAGCCACGAAAAGAGAGTATCAAATCTGCTCTGTCTAAAGAAAAGTTCAACTCTGTGAGTTGAATACACACAGCACAAAGAAGTTACTGAGTATTCTTCTGTCTAGCATTATATGAAGAAGTCCCGTTTCCAACGAAGGGCTCAAACAGCTCCAAATATCCACTTGGAGACTTTACAAAGAGAGCGTTTCCAAACTGCTCTATGAAAAGAAACGTTAAACTCTGTGAGTTGAACGCACACATCACAAACTAGTTTCTGCGAACGAATCTGTGTAGTTTTAATTCGAAGATATTTCCATTTCTAAGATTGGCCTCAAATCCCTTGAAATCTCCACTTGCAAATTCCACAAAAAGAGTGTTTCAAAACTGCTCTGAATAAAGGAAGGTTCAACTCCGTGAGTTGAATGCACACAACACAAAGAGTTACTGAGAATTCTTCTGTCTGTGAGTATATGAAGAAATCCCGTTTGCAACGAAGGCCTCACAGAAATCTAAATATCCACTTGCAGACCTTACAGACAGAGTCTTTCCAAACTGCTCTATGAAAAGAAAGGTTAATCTCCGTGAGTTGCACGCACACATCAGAAAGTAATTTCTGAGAATGATTCTCTCTAGTTTTTATACGAAGATATTTCCTTTTCTACCATTGGCCTCAAATCATTTGAAACCTCCACATGCAAAAGCCACGAAAAGAGCGTTTCAAATCTGCTCTGTCTAAAGAAAGGTTCAAATCTGTGAGTTGAATACACACAACACAAAGTAGTTACTGAAAATGCTTCGGTCTAGCAGTATATGGAGAAATCCCGTTTCCAACGAAGGGCTCAAAGAAGTCCAAATATCCACTTGCAGACTTTACAAAAATAGTGTTTCCAAACTGCTCAATTAAAAGAAAGGTTAAACTCTGTGAGTGGAACGCACACATCACCAAGTAGTTTCTGAGAATGAGTTTGTCTAGTTTTCATACGAAGATATTTCCTTTTCTACCATTGTCCTCGAAGAGCTTGAAATCTGCACTAGCAAATTACACAAAAAGAGTGTTTCAAATGTGCTCTCTCTAAAGGAAGGTTCAAATCTCTGAGTTGAATGCACACAACACAAAGAAGTGACTGAGAATACTTCTGTCTAGCATTATAGGAAGAAATCGCGTTTCCAACAAAGGCCTCAAAGAGGTCCAAATATCCACTTGCAGACTTTACAAATAGAGTGTTTCCAAACTGCTCTATGAAAAGAAAGGTTAAACTCTGTGAGTTGAACGCACACATCACAAGGTAGTATCTCAGAATGACACTGTCTAGTTTTTATACAAAGATATTTCCATTTCTAAGACTGGCCTCAAATCCCTAGAAATCTCCGTTGGAAATTGCACAAACAGAGTGTTTGAAAACTGCTCTTTCTAAAGGAAGGTTCAACTCTGTTAGTTGAATACACACAACACAAACAAGTTACTGAGAACTCTTCTATCTAGCATTATATGAAGAAATCCCGTTTCAAACGAAGGCCTCAAAGAGGTCCAAATATCCTACTGCAGGCTTTACAAAGAGAGTGTTTCCAAACTGCTCAATTAAAAGAAAGGTTAAACTCTGTGAGTGGAACGCACACATCACAAAGTAGTTTCTGAGAATGATTTTGTCTAGTTTTAATACGAAGATATTTCCTTTCCTACCATTGTCCTCGAAGAGCTTGAAATCTGCACTAGCAAATTACACAAAAAGAGTGTTTTAAATGTGCTCTCTCTAAAGGAAGGTTCAAATGTCTGAGTTGAATGCACACAACACAAAGAAGTGACTGGGAATTCTTCTGTCTAGCATTATAGGAGGAAATCCCGTTTCAAACGAAGGCCTCAAAGAGGTCCTAATATCCACTTGCAGACTTTACAAAGACAGCGTTTCCAAACTGCTCTATGAAAAGAAACGTTAGACTCTGTGAGTTGAACGCACACATCACAAACTAGTTTCTGCGAATGATTCTGTGTAGTTTTAATTCGAAGATATTTCCATTTCTAAGATTGGCCTCAAATCCCTTGAAATCTCCACTTGCAAATTCCACAAAAAGAGTGTTTCAAAACTGCTCTGAATAAAGGAAGGTTCGACTCTGTAAGTTGAATGCACACAACTGAAAGTAGTAACTGAGAATTCTTCTGTCGGACAGTATATGAAGAAATCCCGTTTGCAACGAAGGCCTCACAGAAATCTAAATATCCACTTGCAAACCTTACAGACAGAGTGTTTCCAAACTTCTCTATGAAAAGAAAGGTTAATCTCCGTGAGTTGCACGCACACATCACAAAGTAGATTCTGAGAATGATTCTGTCTAGTTTTTATACGAAGATATTTCCTTTTCTACCATTGGCCTCAAATCGCTTGAAATCTTTACTTGCAAAAGCCACGAAAAGAGCGTTTCAAATCTGCTCTGTCTAAAGAAAGGTTCAAATCTGTGAGTTGAATACACACAACACAAAGTAGTTACTGAAAATGCTTCTGTCTAGCATTATAGGAGGAAATCCCGTTTCCAACGAAGGCCTCAAAGAGGTCCAAATATCCGCTTGCAGACTTTACAAAAAGAGTGTTTCCAAACTGCTCTATGAAAAGAAAGTTTAAAATCTGTGAGTTGAACGCACAAATCACAGAGCAGTTTCTGAGAATTGTTCTGTCTAGTTTTCATACAAAGATATTTCCTTTTCTACAATTGGCCTCAAATCGCTTGAAATCTCCACTTGCAAAAGCAACGAAAGGAGAGTTTCAAATCTGCTCGGTCTAAAGAAAGGTTCAACTCTGTGAATTGAATACACACAACCCAAAGAAGTTACTGAGAATTCTTCGGTCTAGCAGTATATGAAGAAATCCCGTTTCCAACGAAGGCCTCAAAAAGGTCCAAATATCTGCTTGCAGACTTTACAAAGAGAGTGCTTCCAACCTGCTCTATGAAAAGAAAGGTTAAACTCTGTGAGTTGAACGCACACATCACAAAGAAGTTTCTGAGAATGATTCTGTTTAGTTATTATACGAAGATATTTTCTTTTCTACCATTGGCCTCCAATGACTTGAAATCTCCTCTGGCAAAAGCCACGAAAAGAGAGTATCAAATCTGCTCTGTCTAAAGATAAGTTCAACTCTGTGAGTTGAATACACACAGCACAAAGAAGTTACTGAGTATTCTTCTGTCTAGCATTATATGAAGAAGTCCCGTTTCCAACGAAGGGCTCAAACAGCTCCAAATATCCACTTGGAGACTTTACAAAGAGAGCGTTTCCAAACTGCTCTATGAAAAGAAACGTTAAACTCTGTGAGTTGAACGCACACATCACAAACTAGTTTCTGCGAACGATTCTGTGTAGTTTTAATTCGAAGATATTTCCATTTCTAAGATTGGCCTCAAATCCCTTGAAATCTCCACTTGGAAATTCCACAAAAAGAGTGTTTCAAAACTGCTCTGAATAAAGGAAGGTTCAACTCCGTGAGTTGAATGCACACAACACAAAGAGTTACTGAGAATTCTTCTGTCTGTGAGTATATGAAGAAATCCCGTTTGCAACGAAGGCCTCACAGAAATCTAAATATCCACTTGCAGACCTTACAGACAGAGTCTTTCCAAACTGCTCTATGAAAAGAAAGGTTAATCTCCGTGAGTTGCACGCACACATCAGAAAGTAATTTCTGAGAATGATTCTCTCTAGTTTTTATACGAAGATATTTCCTTTTCTACCATTGGCCTCAAATCGTTTGAAACCTCCACATGCAAAAGCCACGAAAAGAGCGTTTCAAATCTGCTCTGTCTAAACAAAGGTTCAAATCTGTGAGTTGAATACACAAAACACAAAGTAGTTACTGAAAATGCTTCGGTCTAGCAGTATATGGAGAAATCCCGTTTCCAATGAAGGGCTCAAAGAAGTCCAAATATCCACTTGCAGACTTTACAAAAATAGTGTTTCCAAACTGCTCAATTAAAAGAAAGGTTAAACTCTGTGAGTGGAAGGCACACATCACAAAGTAGTTTCTGAGAATGAGTTTGTCTAGTTTTCATACGAAGATATTTCCTTTTCTACCATTGTCCTCGAAGAGCTTGAAATCTGCACTAGCAAATTACACAAAAAGAGTGTTTCAAATGTGCTCTCTCTAAAGGAAGGTTCAAATCTCTGAGTTGAATGCACACAACACAAAGAAGTGACTGAGAATACTTCTGTCTAGCATTATAGGAAGAAATCCCGTTTCCAACGAAGGCCTCAAAGAGGTCCAAATATCCACTTGCAGACTTTACAAATAGAGTGTTTCCAAACTGCTCTATGAATAGAAAGGTTAAACTCTGTGAGTTGAACGCACACATCACAAGGTAGTATCTCAGAATGACACTGTCTAGTTTTTATACAAAGATATTTCCATTTCTAAGACTGGCCTCAAATCCCTAGAAATCTCCATTGGAAATTGCACAAACAGAGTGTTTGAAAACTGCTCTTTCTAAAGGAAGGTTCAACTCTGTTAGTTGAATACAAACAACACAAACAAGTTACTGAGAATTCTTCTATCTAGCATTATATGAAGAAATCTCGTTTCCAACGAAGGCCTCAAAGAGGTCCAAATATCCTACTGCAGACTTTACAAAGAGAGTGTTTCCAAACTGCTCAATTAAAAGAAAGGTTAAACTCTGTGAGTGGAACGCACACATCACAAAGTAGTTTCTGAGAATGATTTTGTCTAGTTTTAATACGAAGATATTTCCTTTCCTACCATTGTCCTCGAAGAGCTTGAAATCTGCACTAGCAAATTACACAAAAAGAGTGTTTTAAATGTGCTCTCTCTAAAGGAAGGTTCAAATCTCTAAGTTGAATGCACACAACACAAAGAAGTGACTGGGAATTCTTCTGTCTAGCATTATAGGAGGAAATCCCGTTTCCAACGAAGGCCTCAAAGAGGTCCTAATATCCACTTGCAGACTTTACAAAGACAGCGTTTCCAAACTGCTCTATGAAAAGAAAGGTTAAACTCTGTGAGTTGAACGCACACATCACAAACTAGTTTCTGCGAATGATTCTGTGTAGTTTTAATTCGAAGATATTTCCATTTCTAAGATTGGCCTCAAATCCCTTGAAATCTCCACTTGCAAATTCCACAAAAAGAGTGTTTCAAAACTGCTCTGAATAAAGGAAGGTTCAACTCTGTGTGTTGAATTTACACAACACAAAGTAGTTACTGAGAATTCTTCTGTCGGGCAGTATATGAAGAAATCCCGTTTGCAACGAAGGCCTCACAGAAATCTAAATATCCACTTGCAGACCTTACAGACAGAGTGTTTCCAAACTTCTCTATGAAAAGAAAGGTTAATCTCCGTGAGTTGCACGCACACATCACAAAGTAGATTCTGAGAATGATTCTGTCTAGTTTTTATACGAAGATATTTCCTTTTCTACCATTGGCCTCAAATCGCTTGAAATCTTTACTTGCAAAAGCCACGAAAAGAGCGTTTCAAATCTGCTCTGTCTAAAGAAAGGTTCAAATCTGTGAGTTGAATACACACAACACAAAGTAGTTACTGAAAATTCTTTGGGCTGGCAGTATATAGAGAAATCCCGTTTCCAAAGAAGGCCTGAAAGAGGTCCAAATATCCGCTTGCAGACTTTACAAAAAGAGTGTTTCCAAACTGCTCTATGAAAAGAAAGTTTAAAATCTGTGAGTTGAACGCACAAATCACAGGGCAGTTTCTGAGAATTGTTCTGTCCAGTTTTTATACGAAGATATTTCCTTTTCTACAATTGGCCTCAAATCGCTTGAAATCTCCACTTGCAAAAGCAACGAAAGGAGAGTTTCAACTCTGCTCAGTCTAAAGAAAGTTTCAACTCTGTGAATTGAATACACACAACCCAAAGATGTTACTGAGAATTCTTCGGTCTAGCAGTATATGAAGAAATCCCGTTTCCAACGAAGGCCTCAAAGATGTCCAAATATCCACTTACAGACTTTACAGACAGAGTCTATCCAAACTGCTGTATGCAAAGAAAGGTTAATCTCTGTGAGTTGCACGCACACATCACAGAGTAGTTTCTGAGAATTGTTCTGTCTAGTTTTTGTACGAAGATATTTCCTTTTCTACAATTGGCCTCAAATCGCTTGAAATCTCCACTTGCAAAAGCAACGAAAGGAGAGTTTCAAATCTGCTCGGTCTAAAGAAAGGTTCAACTCTGTGAATTGAATACACACAACCCAAAGAAGTTACTGAGAATTCTTCGGTCTAGCAGTATATGAAGAAATCCCGTTTCCAAAGAAGGCCTCAAAAAGGTCCAAATATCTGCTTGCAGACTTTACAAAGAGAGTGCTTCCAACCTGCTCTATGAAAAGAAAGGTTAAACTCTGTGAGTTGAACGCACACATCACAAAGAAGTTTCTGAGAATGATTCTGTTTAGTTATTATACGAAGATATTTTCTTTTCTACCATTGGCCTCCAATGACTTGAAATCTCCTCTGGCAAAACCCATGAAAAGAGAGTATCAAATCTGCTCTGTCTAAAGAAAAGTTCAACTCTGTTAGTTGAATACACACAGCACAAAGTAGTTACTGAGTATTCTTCTGTCTAGCATTATATGAAGAAGTCCCGTTTCCAACGAAGGGCTCAAACAGCTCCAAATATCCACTTGGAGACTTTACAAAGAGAGCGTTTCCAAACTGCTCTATGAAAAGAAACGTTAAACTCTGTGAGTTGAACGCACGCATCACAAACTAGTTTCTGCGAACGATTCTGTGTAGTTTTAATTCGAAGATATTTCCATTTCTAAGATTGGCCTCAAATCCCTTGAAATCTCCACTTGCAAATTCCACAAAAAGAGTGTTTCAAAACTGCTCTGAATAAAGGAAGGTTCAACTCCGTGTGTTGAATGCACACAACACAAAGAGTTACTGAGAATTCTTCTGTCTGTGAGTATATGAAGAAATCCCGTTTGCAACGAAGGCCTCACAGAAATCTAAATATCCACTTGCAGACCTTACAGACAGAGTCTTTCCAATCTGCTCTATGAAAAGAAAGGTTAATCTCCGTGAGTTGCACGCACACATCAGAAAGTAATTTCTGAGAATGATTCTCTCTAGTTTTTATACGAAGATATTTCCTTTTCTACTATTGGCCTCAAATCGTTTGAAACCTCCACATGCAAAAGCCACGAAAAGAGCGTTTCAAATCTGCTCTGTCTAAAGAAAGGTTCAAATCTGTGAGTTGAATACACACAACACAAAGTAGTTACTGAAAATGCTTCAGTCTAGCAGTATATGGAGAAATCCCGTTTCCAACGAAGGGCTCAAAGAAGTCCAAATATCCACTTGCAGACTTTACAAAAATAGTGTTTCCAAACTGCTCAATTAAAAGAAAGGTTAAACTCTGTGAGTGGAACGCACACATCACAAAGTAGTTTCTGAGAATGATTTTGTCTAGTTTTAATAAGAAGATATTTCCTTTCCTACCATTGTCCTCGAAGAGCTTGAAATCTGCACTAGCAAATTACACAAAAAGAGTGTTTTAAATGTGCTCTCTCTAAAGGAAGGTTCAAATCTCTGAGTTGAACGCACACAACACAAAGAAGTGACTGGGAATTCTTCTGTCTAGCATTATAGGAGGAAATCCCGTTTCCAACGAAGGCCTCAAAGAGGTCCTAATATCCACTTGCAGACTTTACAAAGACAGCGTTTCCAAACTGCTCTATGAAAAGAAACGTTAAACTCTGTGAGTTGAATGCACACATCACAAACTAGTTTCTGCGAATGATTCTGTGTAGTTTTAATTCGAAGATATTTCCATTTCTAAGATTGGCCTCAAATCCCTTGAAATCTCCACTTGCAAATTCCACAAAAAGAGTGTTTCAAAACTGCTCTGAATAAAGGAAGGTTCGACTCTGTAAGTTGAATGCACACAACTGAAAGTAGTAACTGAGAATTCTTCTGTCGGACAGTATATGAAGAAATCCCGTTTGCAACGAAGGCCTCACAGAAATCTAAATATCCACTTGCAAACCTTACAGACAGAGTGTTTCCAAACTTCTCTATGAAAAGAAAGGTTAATCTCCGTGAGTTGCACGCACACATCACAAAGTAGATTCTGAGAATGATTCTGTCTAGTTTTTATACGAAGATATTTCCTTTTCTACCATTGGCCTCAAATCGCTTGAAATCTTTACTTGCAAAAGCCACGAAAAGAGCGTTTCAAATCTGCTCTGTCTAAAGAAAGGTTCAAATCTGTGAGTTGAATACACACAACACAAATTAGTTACTGAAAATTCTTCGGGCTAGCAGCATATGGAGAAAACCCGTTTCCAAAGAAGGCCTGAAAGAGGTCAAAATATCCGCTTGCAGACTTTACAAAAAGAGTGTTTCCAAACTGCTCTATGAAAAGCAAGTTTAAAATCTGTGAGTTGAACGCACAAATCACAGAGCAGTTTCTGAGAATTGTTCTGTCTAGTTTTTATACGAAGATATTTCCTTTTGTACAATTGGCCTCAAATCGCTTGAAATCTCCACTTCCAAAAGCAACGAAAGGAGAGTTTCAAATCTGCTCGGTCTAAAGAAAGGTTCAACTCTGTGAATTGAATACACACAACCCAAAGAAGTTACTGAGAATTCTTCGGTCTAGCAGTATATGAAGAAATCCCGTTTCCAACGAAGGCCTCAAAAAGGTCCAAATATCTGCTTGCAGACTTTACAAAGAGAGTGCTTCCAACCTGCTCTATGAAAAGAAAGGTTAAACTCTGTGAGTTGAACGCACACATCACAAAGAAGTTTCTGAGAATGATTCTGTCTAGTTTTTATACGAAGATATTTTCTTTTCTACCATTGGCCTCCAATGACTTGAAATCTCCTCTGGCAAAACCCATGAAAAGAGAGTATCAAATCTGCTCTGTCTAAAGAAAAGTTCAACTCTGTGAGTTGAATACACACAGCACAAAGAAGTTACTGAGTATTCTTCTGTCTAGCGTTATATGAAGAAGTCCCGTTTCCAACGAAGGGCTCAAAGAGCTCCAAATATCCACTTGGAGACTTTACAAAGAGAGCGTTTCCAAACTGCTCTATGAAAAGAAACGTTAAACTCTGTGAGTTGAACGCACACATCACAAACAAGTTTCTGCGAACGATTCTGCGTAGTTTTAATTCGAAGATATTTCCATTTCTAAGATTGGCCTCAAATCCCTTGAAATCTCCACTTGCAAATGCCACAAAAAGAGTGTTTCAAAACTGCTCTGAATAAAGGAAGGTTCAACTCTGTGAGTTGAATGCACACAACAGAAAGTAGTAACTGAGAATTCTTCTGTCGGGCAGTATATGAAGAAATCCCGTTTGCAACGAAGGCCTCACAGAAATCTAAATATCCACTTGCAGACCTTACAGACAGAGTGTTTCCAAACTTCTCTATGAAAAGAAAGGTTAATCTCCGTGAGTTGCACGCACACATCACAAAGTAGATTCTGAGAATGATTCTGTCTAGTTTTTATACGAAGATATTTCCTTTTCTACCATTGGCCTCAAATCGCTTGAAATCTTTACTTGCAAAAGCCACGTAAAGAGCGTTTCAAATCTGCTCTGTCTAAAGAAAGGTTCAAATCTGTGAGTTGAATACACACAACACAAAGTAGTTACTGAAAATGCTTTGGGCTAGCAGTATATGGAGAAATCCCGTTTCCAAAGAAGGCCTGAAAGAGGTCCAAATATCCGCTTGCAGACTTTACAAAAAGAGTGTTTCCAAACTGCTCTATGAAAAGAAAGTTTAAAATCTGTGAGTTGAACGCACAAATCACAGAGCAGTTTCTGAGAATTGTTCTGTCTAGTTTTTATACGAAGATATTTCCTTTTCTACAATTGGCCTCAAATCGCTTGAAATCTCCACTTGCAAAAGCAACGAAAGGAGAGTTTCAAATCTGCTCGGTCTAAAGAAAGGTTCAACGCTGTGAATTGAATACACACAACCCAAAGAAGTTACTGAGAATTCCTCGGTCTAGCAGTATATGAAGAAATCCCGTTTCCAACGAAGGCCTCGAAAAGGTCCAAATATCTGCTTGCAGACTTTACAAAAAGAGTGCTTCCAACCTGCTCTATGAAAAGAAAGGTTAAACTCTGTGAGTTGAACGCACACATCACAAAGAAGTTTCTGAGAATGATTCCGTTTAGTTATTATACGAAGATATTTTCTTTTCTACCATTGGCCTCCAATGACTTGAAATCTCCTCTGGCAAAAGCCACGAAAAGAGAGTATCAAATCTGCTCTGTCTAAAGAAAAGTTCAACTCTGTGAGTTGAATACACACAGCACAAAGAAGTTACTGAGTACTCTTCTGTTTAGCATTATATGAAGAAGTCCCCTTTCCAACGAAGGGCTCAAAGAAGTCCAAATATCCACTTGCAGACTTTACAAAAATAGTGTTTCCAAACAGCTCAATTAAAAGAAAGGTTAAACTCTGTGAGTGGAACGCACACATCACAAAGTAGTTTCTGAGAATGAGTTTGTCTAGTTTTCATACGAAGATATTTCCTTTTCTACCATTGTCCTCGAAGAGCTTGAAATCTGCACTAGCAAATTACACAAAAAGAGTGTTTCAAATGTGCTCTCTCTAAAGGAAGGTTCAAATCCCTGAGTTGAATGCACACAACACAAAGAAGTGACTGAGAATACTTCTCTCTAGCATTATAGGAAGAAATCGCGTTTCCAACAAAGGCCTCAAAGAGGTCCAAATATCCACTTGCAGACTTTACAAATAGAGTGTTTCCAAACTGCTCTATGAAAAGAAAGGTTAAACTCTGTGAGTTGAACGCACACATCACAAGGTAGTATCTCAGAATGACACTGTCTAGTTTTTATACAAAGATATTTCCATTTCTAAGACTGGCCTCAAATCCCTAGAAATCTCCATTGGAAATTGCACAAACAGAGTGTTTGAAAACTGCTCTTTCTAAAGGAAGGTTCAACTCTGTTAGTTGAATACACACAACACAAACAAGTTACTGAGAACTCT